>NC_000003.12:131432846-131584361 GCF_000001405.40 Homo sapiens
ACCAGTGACCAATCCTAGAGTGACAAAGATATGTGACTTTTCAGACAGAAAATTCAAAATAGCTGTTTTGAGGAAGCTCAATGAAATTCAAGATAACACAGAGAAACATTCCAGAATCCTGTCAGATAAACTTAACAAAGAGATTGAAATAATTTTTTAAAAATCAAGCAGAAATTCCAGAGCTGACAAATACAATTGACATACTGAAGAATGCATCAGAGTCTCTCAACAGCAGAATTGATCAAGTGAAAGAAAGGATTAGTGAGCTTGAAGACAGGCTATTTGAAAATATAGAGTGAGAGAAGACAAAAGAAAAAAGAATAAAAAAGAATGAAGCATGACTAGAGGATATAGAAAATAGCCTCAAAAGGGAAAAATCTAAGAGTTATTGAAACTAGAGGATATAGAAAATATCCTCAAAATCTAAAAGTTATTGGTCTTAAAGAGGAGGTAAAGAGAGAGATCGGGGTAGAAAGTTTATTCAAACAGATAATAACAAATAAACTTTCCAAACCTAGAGAAATATATTAATATTCAAATCCAAGAAGTTTATAGAACACCAAGCAGATTTAAGTGAAATAAGACTACCTCAAAGCACTTAATAATCAAAGTCCCAAAGATCAAAGATAAAGGAAAAAACCCTAAAAGCAGCAAGAGAAAAGAAATAAATAACATACAAAGGAGCTCCAATACATACAATAGAATACATACAATAGAATACAAACAATAGAATACAATAGAATTCTCAGTGGAAACCTTACAGTCCAGGAGAGAGTGGTATTTAAGGAGCTGAAGGAAACAAACTTTTATTCTAGAATAGTATACTGAGTGAAAATATCATTTAAACATAAAGAAGAAATAAAAACTAACCCAGACAAACAAAAGCTGATGGATTTCATCAACACCTGGCCTATCCCACAAGAATTGCTAAAGGCAGTTCTTCAATGTAAAAGAAAAGAATGTTAATGAGCAATAAGAAATCATCTGAATGTACAAAACTCACACATAATAGTAAGTACACAGAAAAACACAGAATATTATAACACTGTAATTGTAGTGTGTAAGCTACTCATATGTTGTAGAAAGACTAAAATTTGAACCTCTCAAAAATAATAACTACAGCAACTTTTCAGGACATAGACAGTACAATAAGGTATAAATAGTAACAAAAAGTTAAAAAGCAGGGGGAATGAAGTTAAAGTGTAGAGTTTTTATTAATTTTCTCTCTGCTTCTTCATTAGTTAGTTTTTTTCTGCAGTCAATGGTAAGTTGTCATCAGTTTAAAATAATGGGTTATAAGATGTTATTTTTAAGCCTTGTGGTAACGTTAAATCAAGAAACCTATAACAGATCCAAAGAAACTAAAAATAAAAAGCAAGAAATTAAAACCTACTGCCAGAGAAAATCACCTTCACAAAAAAGGAAGGAAGGATGGATGGAAGGAAGAAGGGAAGAAAGGAGGAAGGAAGGAGGGAAGGAAGGAAGGAAGGAAAGAAAGAAGGAAGGAAGGAAGAAAGGGAGGGAAGGAGGGAGGGAAGGCCACAAAACAACCAGAAAACAAATAACCAAATTGCTGTATTAAGCCCTTATCTATTACTAACAACATCGAATGTAAACAGGCTAAACTCTCCAATCGAAAGACATAGGGTGTGGCCTAGGCACAGTGGCTCATGCCTACAATCTCAGTACTTTGGGAGGCTGAGGTGGGAGAATTGCTTTGAGCCCAGGTGTTTAAGACCAGCCTGGGCAACATAGTGAGACCTCATCTCTACAAAAAATAAAATTAGCCAGGTGTGGTGGTGCACACTTGTAGTCCCAGCTACTCGGGAAACTGAGGTGGGAGGATTGCTTGAACCCAGCTGTTTGAGGTTACAGTGAGTTATAACTGTGCACCACTGCATGCCTGCCTGGGCAACAGAGTGAGTCCCAGTCTCTAAAAACAAACAAACAAATCACAGCAACAACAAAAACAGAGTGGCTAAACTGATTAAAAAATAAGACCCAACAATCTGTTGCCTACAAGAAACATACTACACCTATAAAGACACACACAGACTAAAACTAAAGGGATAGAAAAAGATATTCCATGGAAGTCAAATGGAAGTCAAAAAGGAGTAGGAGTAGCTATACTTACACCAGACAAAATAAATTTCAAAACAAAAACTATAAAAAGGACAAAGAAGGTCATTATATGACAATAAAGGAGTCAATTCAGTAAGAGGATATTGTAAACATATATGAACCCAACACTAAGGCACCCAGATATAATATACAGCAAATACTATTAGAGCTAATGAGAGCGATAGACCCCAATATAATAATAGCTGGAGACTTTAGCACCCCCACTTTCAGCACTGGACAGATCTTCCAGACAGAATACCAACAAAGAAACATTGGGCTTAATCTGCATTATAGATCAAATAGATCTAATAGATTAGATACTTGTAAAACATTTCAGCCAATGGCTGCAGAATATACATTATTTTCCTCAGCACATGGATCATTCTCAAGGATAGGCCATATGTTAGGCCACAAAACAAGACTTAATTTTTTCAATGGAAATCATATCAAGTGTCTTCTCTAACCACAAATAAATAAAACTAGAAACTAATAACAAGAGGAAATTTGGAAACTAAATAAACACACGGAAATTAAACGATATGCTCCTGAATGACCAGTGGATCAATGAAGAAATGAAGAAGGAAATTTTAAAATGTCTTAAACAAAAATGAAAACACAACACATCAAAACATGGGATTCAGTGAAAGCAGCACTAAGAGGAAAGTTTATAGCCAAAATTACCTAAATCAAAAATGTAGAAAAATTTCAAATAACCCAATATTGCATCTTAAAGAACTAGAAAAGCAAGAGCAAAGCAAACTCAAAATTAGTAGATGAAAATAAATAATAAATATCAAGCAGAAATAAATGAAACTGAAACAAAAAACAGAACAGAACAACAAAATGAAACATTGATTTTTTTGAAAAGATAAAATTGACAAATCTTTAGGCTAAGAAAAAAAGAAAATTCAAAATCAGAGATGAAAAAGGAGACATTACAACTGACACTGCAAAAATTCACAGGATCATTAGAGACTACTATGAGCAACTATCTGCCAGCAAATTGAAAATCTAGAAGAAATGGATAAATTCTTAGACACATACAACCTACAAATACTGAACTGTGAAAAAATCCAAAACCTGAAAAGACCAATAACAAGTAATGAGATCACAGCCATAATAAAAAGTCTCCTGGCAAAGAAAAGCTTAAACCTGATGGCTTCATTGCTGAATTCTACTAAATATTTAAAGAAGAATGAAACCAATTCTCAAACTCAAAAAATAAGTGGAGGAAGGAATACTTCCAAATTCATTCTATAAAGCCAGTATTACCCTGATACCAAAACCAGACTAAGATACATTTTAAAAAACTACAGGCCAATATCCCTCATGAATATTGATGCAAAAATCTTCAACAAAATACTAGCAAACCAAAATTAACAACATATTAAAAAGATCATTCACCATGACCAAGTGAGATTCATCCCTTGGATGCAAAGACAGTTCAACATACACAAATCGATCAATGTGATACATCATATCAACAGAATAAAGAATAAAAATCATATGATCATTTCAATTGATGCTGAAAAGGCATTTAATAAAATTCAACATTTCTTCATGATAAAAACCATCAAAAAACTGGGTCTAGAATGAACATACCTCAACACAATAAAAGCAATGTAGGCAGACCCACAGCTAGTATCATATTGAATGGAGAAAAATGGAAATCTTTTCCTCTAAGATCTGGAACACAGCAAGGATGCCCACTGTCAGCATTCTTATTCAACATAATACTGGAAGTCTTAGAGCAATTAGGCAAAGATTTCTTGAGTAATATTCCACAAGCACAGGCAACCAAAGCAAAAATGGACAAATGGGATCACATCAAATGGAAAAGCCTCTGTGCAGTAAAGGATACAATCAACAAAGTGAAGAGACAACCCACAGAATGGGAGAAAATATTTGCAAACTATCCATCTGACAAAGGATTAATAACCAGAATAAGGAGTTCAAACAACTCTATAGGAAAAAATATGAGACAATTTAAAAATGGGCAAAAAATCTGAATAGACATTTCTCAAAAGAAGACATACAAATGGCAAACGGGTATATGAAAAGGTGCTTAACATCATTGATCATCAGAGAAATGCAAATCAAAACTACAATGAGATATTATCTCACTGCAGTAAAAATGGCTTTTATGCAAAAGATAGGCAATAACAAATGCTGGCAAGGATGTAGAGAAAAGGAAACCCTCACACATTGTTGGTGAGAATGTAAGTTAGTACAGCCAGTATGGAAAACAGTTTGGAGGTTCCTCAAAAACCTAAAACAGAAGTATCATATGATCCAGCAATTTTACTGCTAGGTATACATCCCAAAGAAAGGAAATCAGCATATCAAAGAAATATCTGCACTCCTATGTTTATTGCAGCACTAATCACAATAGCCAAGATTTAGAAGCAACCTAAGTGTCCATCAATGGACAAATGGATAATGAAAAAGTAGTACATATACACAGTGGAGTATTATTCAGCCATAAAAAAGAATCAGATACTTTCATTTGCAACATGGATGGAATTGGAGGACATTATGTTTAGTGAAATAAGCCAGGTACAGAGAGTCAAATTTCATATATTCTCACTCATGTATGGAAGCTAAAAATTAAAACAAGTGAATTCATGGAGATAGAAAGTATTAATAGAATGATGGTTACCAGAGGCTGGAAAGGGTAGTGGGGGTGGGAAAAAGTGGGGGTGGTTAGTGGGTACAAAAATATAGTTAGATAGAATGAATAAGATCTACATGGGAGGCAGAGGCAGGCAGATCACTTGGGGTCAGAAGTTCAAAACCAGCCTGGCCAACATGGTGAAACTCTGTCTCTACTAAAAATAGGAAAATTAGCCGGGCATCATGGCACATGCCTGTAATCCCAACTACTCGGGAGACTGAGGCAGGAGGATCTCTTGAACCTGGGAAGCAGAGGTTGCAGTGAGCCGACATCCTGCCACTGCACTCCAGCCTGGGCAACAGAGCAAGATTGTCTCAAAAAAAAAAAAAAGAATAAGATCTGGTATTTGATAGCACAACAGGGTGGCTACAGACAACAGTAATTTATTGTACATTTATAAATAACTAAGAGTATAATTCAATTATTTTTAACACAAAGAAAAGATGAATGCTTGAAGTGATGGATACCCCATTTATCCTGATGTGATTATTATCCTGTGATTATTGTATGCCTCTATCAAAATATGTCATGTACCCCATAAATGTATATACCTATATGTCCATAAAAATTAAAAACAAATAAAAAATAAAACATTAACAGTTTCAATCAGCCATGTTAGATAATATACAATCTTTCCATTTTCTCTATAGAAAATAATGTTACAGAACTTTTATATGAAAAAAGAGATAAAAGAATTTACAATTAAAAATATAGAGAAAAAAATTATAGAAGTGTGGTGGGCAGTTAATTAATCAATCTATCACTTTTTTTCTGGATTTTATAATGCATGTGGTTTCTGTTAGAACATTTTAATTTTTCATTTGTTGCAATCTTTTTTTTTTACTCTAAATAAATATTAACACTGGTGCCTTATTCTGTGTAAATTCCTTAAAGGGAGTCCTCCAGAAGTTTTGGGCCCCTAAACCTGGGTCTACTCCTGCTGAGTGCACCACATACCTCCCCCTCTGGAGGGTCCTTTCCAAAAGTGTTGCCACAAACCAGGCTGTGGGCCTGCATTCACAGATCTTTCTTCTTCTCTGTCTCAGGGGAAGTCTCTCTCTCTACTACTTTTCTAGGGATTCTGTGCTCCCCTCTGCCCATCTTAGACCGAGCTCTTTGTTGAGGTCAAGGGTTTCACAAAAAGCAAGACATGTTTTCAGCTGTAAGCATTTTCTATTATTTCCTCTACAAGAATCCCCAAGGCAAGGAAATATTATGGACCTGAATACCAGTTTAGGACTTGAGGAGAGAAGGTTGTGGAAATCTACAAATTGATTTCTCAGTAAATGATCCTGCTCATGCATCCAGCATGAGCTAATATGATTGCTCTAATTGTTTTAACAGTCCTATTAATGTCTGTCTTCAATAAGTAGATGACATTTATATAAAAATTAAATAATATAAAGCATATCTTGAATCCGTTGAGGGGAAAGAATGTTCCTCTAGAGTTGCAGTGACCCCAGCAGTTGCACATAAGAGACATTCTAGTTTTTGCTATACAGTCTGAGGAAGCAACCAGAACTTCAGCAAGTTCTGGGGCTTCTCCCACATCACTGCCATATGCTCCCAGATGGGAACATAAATAAGCAATGAAAAGGGAGTGTTGAAATGAGAGATCTGGTAACAGGTCATTTGAAAAGACAGAGCAAAGACTTGTAGCCATTTTCTAGCAATTTCACAACTACTACTGAAATCAGCATAACATTTGCAACCTGGCCTATGTTAGAAAAAAAAGGCATGTAATATACCACCAATGAAATTGTGGTTTGAATTCTCTCTGAATGTGCGTTTATTTCTCTTTTATCCCAGCTGCATCTATACCTACCTTGCTGTGAAACAGCATAATTAACCGGTAGGTTTCAGGGAGAAGTGATAATTTTCAGCTTATTCTAGGTCATTTTCAGTCAACATTTTAGCTTGAAAATGCTTTTCCCTTCTCCCTTTGGCAGCAGCTTTCAGAAGTGGATTTTGCTGAAGCCTTCTATTTTCATCACTCTGATTGCTTTATTTATGCAGCAAATCACTGATTTGGTGTTTAGGAAATTGTCATGTTTGGGCAGCAAAGCTTTTTAGTTAATGGATTGAGGAGTTCTAAACTTGTTTATAAAATACATGTATTTTTTAAAAGGCCCATAAAGTTCCAACTCATCATTCATTATATTCAGGGTAGTGATTAACAGTAAGTTCTTTTACCATTTACTTCAACTCTTCCTGTCAAATCAACACTGAAGAACATATTTATCTAAACTTAAGAATATCTTGGTACTTGTCTTAATAACTAGGTTGGATAAATCAGTCTTTTCTTTAAACAGCACTCTTAGTACTTTCTTCCCTGAATATCTAATCTCGTTGAATAGAATCCTTCAGGAAAGTAGAAAGATAGCCTGGAAAGATAGCCTCGCTATGACACTTCCCATCTGGAAAATGACTAGGAACACCTCTATTGAAATGACAACAGTGAATGATAGAGAGTAATAGATGCATAGGCCATAGATTTTGGAATTAAGTAGAAATCAAGGTTATGTGCTAGTCTTGGCTCTGCCATGACTTGGTTATGTCACTGTCTGGACCTTTCATGGCTTGTTTCTCCGTCAATGAATTAAGAAAGTTGGATTAGACTATTATAATTTTTTGTTGTTGTTATTGTTTTAAGCAAGAGTTTTTCAAATGAAAATTTACTTGAAATTTAGATATATAATGAAATATATTGGTTTTCTATTGCTGTATAACAAATCTCCCCAAAATTTAGTACCTTAAAGCAAAGGTAGTAATTTATTAATCTCTCACAGTTCCATGGGTTGGGAAATGGAGATTGACTTGGCTGTGTTACCAAACTAAACTTGGCTCTACTTGCCCTGTGTGCAGAAAAAGCCAAACACTAATATTAAGATCTGCAGCAAGAGAAATTATTGCATTTATTGTAGGGTGCCAAGCAAGGAGAATCAGGCAGCTAATGCTTAAGACCTGAACTCTCTGATGGCTTACAAGCAAGGGTTTTGAAAGGCAGGGGTATATTTTAAGAAAGCAGAAGTTACAAGTAAAATCATAGGTGAATACATGGAAGTTACATATTGGTTTGGCCCAAAAAGGTAGGATATCTTGAAGTGGGAGCTTACAAGTCATAGGTGAATTCAGAGATTCTTTGATTTTGCAATTGGTCAAGGAAGCAAGGCTTTTGCTAAAAACTTGGGGTCAGCAGAAAGAATTGTTAAGGTGTGGTCTGTGGGCATGACCTTTTCCAGGACCCTCAGGAAGAAATTTAGAACAAAGAACAATGGTCAGAATGTAGTTCTCAATTCCTTCTTAACTGAGGTCTACTTGATGGTGGTCAACATTTTCCATTTGTTGGGGAAAAAAATAACTCAAGAATATATGTCAAGATGTCATCTTTTGCTTTTATAGGGAGCCAATATCTTATGAGTCTAATTTACTTGGGTCTCACTAGTTGATAGCTGTTAATGTCCCCCTTGTTTTTCTCCCTTCAGGTGGCTTCTCTTCAGTGATTTCCATTAACTTGCAGAACTTAACCTTGTAAGTATTGATATTAGAGGCATTTATTTTTACTGTGGTTAGAGGAGAGAAAATGTTAGGTCTTTGCAGGACCCATCTCATGTGCATGACTCCCTGCAGCCCTCAGCAACCCTTTCTGAGGTTCTCCCTTCTTCAGGATCTCAAAGGCACTGGAGAACTGTGAGAGCTGGAGCCTAAGGGGAGACCAAGGAAGTGCCAGCCCCAGTCTTAGAAAACCCTCCTCCCTGTCCCCTACACGCTTCTAGGTAACCCGGGGTGGGACAGCATCTCTCTCTCCCCCTGCCCCCAGTAGTATCCTTTAAAGGGCTTGGTGGGAACATCCAAGGCCCTGAATCTGCCAGTGCAGGTGCAGTCGACACCAAGCGGAAGCCACCCAGCTGGCTTTTAATCTGTCCGACCTAGCACCACTGGACTGTCTCAAGTCCTCCAGAATCCTGGCCCCCCCTATATTTGGGGGGATTCTTGAAGGCACATGTTTTTTGTAGTTATTGCTTGCTCTGACTTCCTGCTTCTGTTGATTGCTGTCCCTTGCAGCCACCTCCTTCTTTCTGCCTTGCATCCACCCAAACATTGGATCCAACTTTCTTTCCTTGCCTTCTCCAAATATACCTCACACTCCTATGGAGCCTTTGCTACTGGGTCTGTGGGGGCAATCACAGTGCTGGGGTTGGGAGGCCCTGTGGGTAAACACAGCAGGTCAGTTAATATCAGATATCAGGGATCCCTGTTTTCAGAAGTTCCTCCGCCAATCCTCCCACCTGTCCCTTGCTACTCACTGTCTCTTCCTGGCTCCTACTTTCCTGCCTTCTTGCTTGGTCTCCACTCAGCTTCTCTCTGGTTTCAACCCCTTTATTTCCTCATGCTGTGGGGAGCTCTCACAGAGCTCAACATTCTTCCATCTTTGCAGGAGGAGCAATTTTATTCTTCAGTCATGTTCCTAGTTTGATCCAGGGCATGTGTTGAGGTTATCTTTCTACACACACAAAAAATTTTTTAAATACAAATATAAATGCATATAAGTAAATATTTTTATATCTATTCTCCCTGAGATTTTCCAATGCCTAATATTAAACTAACCATCTTTATTTTAGCTCCCACTACCCATATAAGGGTTTCATGGTGGGGAACGAGCCACAGGACAGAAGGCTGTGCGGCAAAATAGTTATGCCTTTAGCTTCTGGACACAGAGAGACCCAGATATGAATCTTGGCTCTAATACTCACTTGCTATGTGATCTTGGGCAAGTTATTCAACTTCTCTGAGCTTCAACTTCCTCACCTGTAAAATGGAGGTAACAACAACTATCACCTTATAGGGTTCCCATGAGCATTAAATGAGAAAATACATATAAATCTCAGTGTTTGCTGCTTAATAAGCATTTGATATATAGCTCTTTTATGTAGGTCACTGTATGAAGCAGAGAAGACAATAAGGTTTTGCCAAAAGAATAGTTGTAATAATGTTATTAGCATACACTATTATATATGCCAGGCACTTTACGTGTATTAGTTCATTTTATTTTAACTTTTTAAACTTTTTTTGTAACAGACACCCAGGCTGGAGTGCAGTGGCATGATCATAGCTCACTGCAGCCTCTAATTCCTGAGCTCAAGTGATCCTCCTGCCTCAGCCTCCCAAATAGGTAGGACTACAAGTGTGCACTACCATGTCTGGCTAATTTTTAGAGATAGGGTCTTGCTATGTTGCCCAGCCTGGCCTTGAATTCCTGGCCTCAAGTAATTCTCCCACTTCAGCCTCCCAAAGCACTGGGATTACAGGGATGAACCACTGTGCCTGGAACATTAACTTTTTTTTTTTCTTTTTTTTTTTTTTTTTGAGACATAGTCTCACTTTGTCACCCAGGCTGGAGTGCAATGGAGTGATCTCAGTTCACTGCAACCTTTGCCTCCCAGGTTCAAGCAATTCTCCTGCCTCAGCCTCCCAAGTAGCTGGGACTACAGGCATGTGCCACCACATCCGGCTAATTTTTGTATTTTTAGTAGAGATGGAGTTTTGCCATGTTGGCCAAGCTGGTCTCAAACTCCTGACCTCAAGTGATTCACCCACCTTGGCCTCCCAAAGTGCTGGGATTACAGGTGTGAGCCACCATGCCTAGCCTTAACTCATTTTAATTCACATAATAATTATCTAAAGGAGAGAATATTATTTGTCTCTCAAAGATGTGAAAACTCAAATCATTACTTCAA
This sequence comes from Homo sapiens, assembly GCF_000001405.40. NCBI lineage: Eukaryota > Metazoa > Chordata > Mammalia > Primates > Hominidae > Homo > Homo sapiens. The sequence continues at coordinate 131,443,380 of NC_000003.12, forward strand.
GGTTACATGGCTAGGAAGCACAGAATTTAAACCAGGCTTGCCCATGTCCTTGCTCTCTACACTATTTTTTCTTCCTTTTTATTTCCACACTGAGCATTAGAACCAGATATACCCTAGAAAGTACAAATCACAGAGTGTATATCTGATTAGATCTCCTGAAGCAGAGGCTGAGATGGAGTTTGGGGCACAGGATGTTTTTTAGAGATCAATACCTGTAGAAGAGGCAGGGAGCAAGAAGAATGAGGCGGCGGAAGGAGGTGAACCCTGATACAGGACTGACAAACCTTTGACCAACCCCACAGGGCACTCCAGAACACAGGTAGCTCATCAAAATGGTTTTAGGAAGCGAAGTAGTTTTTGGTGCAGCAAAATTGAACCCATGGTAAGTATTCACGGGAGGTCAGTTATTAGGAATGTATCAGTTAGCAACTGTATTCAGCTCATATTGGAGACAACAATTTCTCTCAAAACAAATTAGGGATTGGACTTTTCTTTCACATAAAAGAAACCTGGAGATCAGCAGTATGAACTTTCTATACTATCCTCCATGATATCAGCAGATCTACTTAAACTCTTTCTTTTTTTTTTTTTTTTTTTTTTTTTTAGCAGCAGCAAGATTTATTGTGAAGGGCAAAAGAACAAAGCTTGCACAGTGTGGAAGGGGACCCAAGTGGGTTGCCCTCTTAGCTCTGATAAAGACTCCCTCCTTGACCAAACTTTAGCTGAGCTCCACTGAGCTCTCTTCTCAACTAGGCCTAAGCAAATTAATGCAGGAACTGAAAAGCAAATACTGGATGTTCTCATTTATAAGTGAGAGCTAAATATTGGGTACACTTATAAGTGAGAGCTAAACATTGCAATGGGAACACTGGAATTGCGTGAACTGAGTGATCATTTCAGAAAATAAAAGGGTTTTCTGCAAAGGTTTCAGCCCCTGGTGTTTCCAGCCACTTCTAAACAAACAGCAGTAGTGTCAACTTACCTGGCCTTCCTCTGCCGCCAGCCCCAGGCGGTCATGTTTGCCTAACCGAATACTGGAAGTTCTGCTTTCTCCATCACACCTTTAGTTCCATCTCAAACTTCTCTTCCCTTCCCCAGATTTTAACACTGCTCAGCATTACCACCAGGAAAATATCCTGCATCATCTGTCCTACAAGCCCCACAATATGTGTGAGCAGTCTGATACTGCCCAAGTTCATGAACCTCAAGTGGTGTGATTTTTCTCCAGCAATGTTCAGCTGCTGAGGCCAGGCCTGGAGAAGATGAAAAGCCAGGCTTTGCTTTCAATAAGATCAGTGCATATGAGATAAGGCAGATGAGCTAGAACAGAAAATAGTGGTCAAAGAAAGGAGTGTATGAAATCAAGAATTTGGAGTTTTATTCAACAATTCTATCGTGAGTGGCCACTATATGCCAGGAGAATTCTATGATTAAGTTACTTTGTAAATCTTGTCTAGAAGGAGGACAGAATAGACCAAGGCTAAAGTTGGAAGTGTCAAAGAAGCAGAAGTCACTCACATTAGCTAGAATGTGGGATGTTTGGTCATTTTTGTGATTTGGACAATGTTCATGCTTCGTGTTCAGACATGATTACAGTGTGGTCTTGTTTTGTTTTGATCCATCAGGGTCACTGAGTGGCCTTCTCTGATGTTGTTTTTCTGTGAAAGAGTTGTGTTCGACAGGAGAACACCAAGGCCCAGCTGATAGTACCAGGCCAGCTTCCAGGTGTCAAGGACTGCTTTTCGCTTTTGTCACCCCTTAGAACTAACCACACATTAAGAGAAAGAAAATTCCAGTTTTAAATAAACTGGCTTTACTAGTCTCATGAAAACATTTGAATTTTACTTATTATAGGTACAGTCTAGAGACACATAGTCTCAGAGTCTGACCTACTTTAAAACTGTGATAATCTTTGGGGGATTAGCTCGTGGACGCTAAATAAATTACTTTTAAATTCCATTATAGTTGCTGTGGTTTTAAAATAACAACATACTTTGTATTTTCATGACCTGTATATTGGTTTTCCTTCCTCCCCCAACAGCATTCCTGCTATTTTAGCAAACAAATGCATCTAGAAACAACGTATGATTCCCCAAATCGTACTATTCAGGGGAAAAATAAAATAAAATGTTAATGCTAGAAGGAAGATATCAGGATCCCAACCATCGTCAAAGTCACCAAGCTACAGTGGAAGCATAAAAAGCTGATCCTAGGTCTCCAGACTCCTTGCTTTAGTTGGACAGCCTGATACTTGGGTGGGCAGAGACATTTTCTGTCTGGTTACTGTTGTATTTCCACTGCCTAGGATGTTGCTGGATAAATTATACGTGTTCAATAAATGAATACATAAAATTTTTTGATAAACAAAGCACTTTTTTCTTTTTTTCTTCTTTTTTGAGACGGAGTTTTGCTCTTGTTGCCCAGGCTGCAGTGCAATAGTGTGATCTCGGCTCACTGCAACCTCCGCCTCCTGGGTTCAAGCGATTCTCCTGCCTCAGCCTTCCTGAGTAGCTGGGATTACAGGCACCTGCCACCATGCCTGGCTAATTTTTGTATTGTTAGTAGAGACAGGTTTTCTCCATGTTGGTCAGCCTTGTCTTGAAATCCCAACCTCAGGTGATCCGCCCTCCTCAGCCTCCCAAAGTGCTAGGATTACAGGCAGGAGCCACTGCCCCCGGCAAACAAAGCACTTTTCTAGAAAGTCAGTGATTTGGAGCTGTAAGGTACTTTAGACCCTGTTATTCAAAATATGCTCTGTTGGCCAGCAGCATCAGCATCACCTGCTAAACTGTTAGAAAAGTGGAATCTCAGGCTCCACCCAAAATTACTGAATCAGAATCTGCATTTTATTTAACAAATTCTCAAGTGATAAATAGGGATGTGAAAGTTTGAGAAGTACTGCTATAGACATCATCTATGTTTCTCAATCTTGGCTGCATATCACTGTAAGGAGCTTTTAAAATATATGAATACTTAGGCTCTATCTCCAAAGAACTTGATGTTCAGCCAGGATTGAGGACCACTGATTGCAGCCCAATATCCTGTGTAACTGAGTTACTTAACCTTTCTGTGCCTGTTTTCTTATGTGTTAAATGGAGCTACCAATATCCTCTAGCCAAAGATCATAAGGAATACACTGTAATTAAACAGTCCCTTCAGTGGCTTGCTGCAGTAAGGAAAATGCCACATCAAAAGAGGCCATGAGGCATTTCCGAAACAATATGTTAGGGTAAGGCTGTTTACAGGAATATGAACTTGTGTTAGGTGATGTGGGAGAGAATTCAAAGTATTGTTTTGCTCTGAATTGAGTGCTGTCTAGAAGTGGGAGCAATTCTATTACGCCTTAATAATTTTTATATAGGAGATGAGAGGAATAAAGCAAGTTAAAGGCTGTAATTTGTGAACAAGTAATCACTCATATTAGCTAAAAGAGGGGGATATTTGGTCATTTTTAATGGGTTGGATTGTTCTTGTTTTTTCTGTGTTTGGACACAACTTTAGAGAGACCTTATTTTTGTCTTGCTCCATTATGGTCAGAGTAGCCTAGTCTGCTGTTGGTGTACATGAAATTGTTTGTGTCCAACATGTAATAACTATAACAGTTGTTGATAAAAGATTTTACTTTTTTTTTTTTTAAGGGACAGGGTCTCACTCTGTTGCTCAGGCTGGAGTATGGTGACATGATCATAGCTCACTGTAACCTTGAACTCTTGGGCTCAAGTGATCCTCCCACCTCAGCCTCCCAAGTAGCTAGGACTACAGGTACATGCCACCATGCCCAGCTAATTTTTTTTTTTTTTTTTGGTAGAGATGGGGGTCTTGCTATGTTGCGCATGCTGGTCTCAAGCTCCTGGACTCAAGTTATCCTCCCACCTTGGCCTCCAAAAGTACTGGAATTACAGGCATGAGCCATTGCACCCAGCCCTTTTTTTTTGTATTATTATTTAGTGTTCCTCTTTATCTCTGCTAACAGTTTTTGCTTACACTGTCTGATGTCAATCTTGCTACAACCAGCTTTCTTTTTGTTAATATTTTCTTGATACACATAGTTTTCCTTTCAAAGTATTTTAAACCCTTCTTTGTGGTTTTAGGAGATCTCTCATTAATGACATCTAGCTGGTATTTCTTTAATCTCACAATCTCGATCTTTTATAAGTAAATTTAATCCATTTACATTTATTATAGTTTGTATGACTTTCTCAGTACTATCTTCTTTCTTAATTCTCCTTTTAGTCATCTAAAGTTTGTATTAAATATTTTTTTTCATTTCTAGCATTTTAAATTCTTCATGGAAATCCATTCGTTTCCTATCTGCCTATTTTTATTTTGTAATTTCTTGCTATGTTGAATAAAATTTAGTTTTATTTACCTCCTTGAGCATCTGTTTTAGTTCACTCCTACTGCTATAAAAATATCTAAGATTGGGTAATTTATAAAAAACAGAAATCTATTTTTATTCACAGTTCTGGAGGCTGAACAGTTAAAAATCAAGGGGTTGGCAGATTTGGTGTCTGGTGAGGGCTGCTCTCTGCTTCCAAGATATCACTTCCTTATGTGTCTTCACATGGAAAAAGGGGGCAAATAGCTCCCTTGAACCTCAAACCGATCAGGGTGCTGATCTTGTTCATGAGGGCTTTGTCCTCATCACTTAGTCACCTCCTAAAGGTCCCACCTCTTAATATTATCACTTTGGCAGTTAAGTTTCAACATATTGATTTTAGGAAGACATATTCAGACCATAGCAGCATTCTAAACATATTAAGACTTTTGTTGAACTCTTGCATAAATTAATTTTATATGGAAGACATTTGTTCTGTTGATCACATTGGCTTTTTTTTTTTTTTTTTTTTTTGAGACAGTTTCACTCTGTCACCCAGGCTGGAGTGCAATGGCACGATCTTGACTCACTGCAACCTCTGCCTCCTGGGTTCAAGCTATTCTCCTGCTTCAGCCTCCTGAGTAGCTGGGATTACAAGTGCCCTCCACCATGCCCAGCTAATGTTTTTATTTTTAGTAGAGACAGGGTTTCACTGTTTTGGCCAGGCTGGTCTTGAGCTCCTGACCTCAAGTGATCCGCCCGCCTCGGCCTCCCAAAGTTCTGGGATTATAGGCATGAGCCACCGCTCCTGACCCATATTGGCTCTTTCTTTGCATTGATTTTTTATGTTTTAGAATTTGGATTTTGAATGGGAGATATTTTATTTCCTCTTAACAATGTATTTTCTGGGCCGGGTGTGGTGGCTCATGCCTGGAATCCCAGCACTTTGGGAGGCAGAGGCGGGTGGATCACGAGGTCAGGATATCGAGATCATCGTGGCTAAAATGGTGAAACCCTGTCTCTACTAAAAATACCACAAATGAGCCAGGCATGGTGGCACGCACCTGTAGTCCCAGCTCTCAGGAGGCTGAGGCAGGAGATTCGCTTGAACCCAGGAGGTGGAAGTTGTAGTGAGCCAAGATCGTGCCACTGCACTCCAGCTTGGGTGATAGAGCGAGACTCCATCTCAAAAAAAAAAAAAAAAAAAAAAGGCAGTATTTTCTATTTGTCTTTATATTTCAATGCTCGTCTGTCCTTATTTGATGTTTGCATAGTTGCTTCTATCTGGCTTCTGAGCCTGCAGTACAAAATGGCCTCAAGGGATCCTGACCTTTAGTGATACTGAAGACTTTGCAATTCCTGTTACTGAGCCAATGAAAACTTATCCCTTAGGTGTCATAAAATTTCGAAGGTGATCTCCCACATCCTCAGGCAAGCAAATGCCATAGGCAGCAGTACAGTTTTTCTTTCTTGTCTTCATTTGATGTAGATGTTGGAGTGGTGAAATTCCTTCTGAACCTCTGGCTTCATGCAACAAGTTTGGCTTTGGTCTCTCCTCTTGGGTGAAGCATTTTGGTCCCCTTAAATCCCACTGCTACCATTTTTCTTCTTACCTATGTCCTAGGAGTCTTGTGCTTCAGTTTATTCTCTGCTTTATGTTTTTTTTTTTCCTTTTATGGTTTATCTTGTTGTGAAACATGGCTATGTCTATTTTTATACTTAATCTATCACTGCTATGTTTTGAAGCAAAGGAGGTGCAAAAAAAACATGATCTCATTTCACTTTGTTCAGAAGTCCCAACTTGCCATTCTTAATATTACTCTGTTACATAATCCTATAAGTATATAAGCTCCTGGAAGGCAGGGGCTATGAGCTCCACATCATGGTCTCCCCAGAGTTAGTACAATGTCCAGGACATGGGAGAGGTCCTCCATAAATGCTGATTTGAGTTTGTTGACTTGGTAGGTGCCAGCCTTATCTCGAAGCCTCATGTTTTGAGAATCTATCACTACAGTCCTTTTTAAAAGCCTCTTCTCAGAGAGAGATGTTCATTTATTTCTTTATCTATAGGTGTTAATTTTTTAGTTCTATATTTGTGCATTAAAAAGAAGATCAAACTAGTCTCAAAGGCCTCACAAACCTAAAAGCTTACATAAATGGTCAAAGAAGATAAATTTGGAAGAAGTATGCTGTATATTTCCCTTTCCCTCCAACTTCTAAATTTCCTTTCCAATCCTAGCTCAAGTCTCCCGGATATCTTTCCTAAGCAACTCTTCTGACAATCCTGACTTAGAATCCCTTCAGCAACGGTGGGTAAAGGTATATTATTATTATTCTATTGTGCATGGTTCTATGGTACTTTAAAATAGTTGCTTCACCTATAAAGTTTTGAGGCAAATTTTGAAGTTTTTCTTCGGCACCATTCTATTACTCACTTTTGAGCCCATCTGACAGCCCTTCATTATATCCCTTACTTTCCATTTCCACCCTTCCATACACGACTTGCTCTTAACAGACAATTAATAAAAAATATTTTAAATTCATTTTGAACTGAGATATAGCATATATAAGTGCATAAGTTTTAAGTGAACACAATAAAATTTTACATATAAACATATACATTCACGTAGTCATTACCCAGATAGAGATACAGAGCATTTCCAACATTACAGATGGCTCCTGTGAGCTCCTTCCCAGTCAATATCCTCTCCTCTGTGGAAGTAACTTGCCAATTTCAATTCTGATCTCTAGTACTACATATTAGTTCTGCCTGTTCTTGAACTTCATATAAAATATTAGTTTTGCCTATTCTTGAACTTCATATAAATGGAACCATAACTGTATGTATTTCTAAACTTTAGAAATAATTTAAAACTTACACACAAGTTGCAATAATAGTACAGTGCATTCATATGCCCTTTGCTCAGATTTATGTATTGGTAATATTTTGCCTTTATTTGCTTTATTATTTACTTTACTACCTACCTATATATCTCTATCATCTACCTAAATATTTTTTTCTGAGCCTCTTCTTGAACATTTGAGAATAACTAAGTTGTATATCCCATATCTATTTACCTCTATATACCTTCAGTGTGCATTTTCTAAAAATAAGAGTTTCTCTTATATAACCATAGTAGGGTTATCAAGTAAACATTGATAACATTTTTATCTAAAGTACATATTCTGGATTTACCAATTGATCCAATACAGGATTCAGTCTAGCATCAGGTATTACATTTAGTTGTCATGGCTCCCTAATCTCTTTTAATCTGGTATAGTCTTCTGTTTGGTCTTTTATGACATTTAACATTTTTGAAGAAATTCTCTTTTTCTTTTCGTGGGATTTGCCTGATATTTCTTAATGATTACATCTGGGTTATGCATTCCCAGCTGGGATATTACATAAGTGATGTTATGTCTTTGGTGTCTCATATCTGGTGACAAATGATGTTCATTTGTCCCTCATTTGACATATTAATTTTGTTCACTTAGTAATCATTGTATAGTTAGAATTTTCCTCTTTCAACTAATAAGCAAGCTGTGGGGAGACACTTTAAGACCATACACATATCCTGCTCCCCAACAAAATCTATCCCTCCCTAATCCTAGATTTAGTATCCATTGATGATTCTTATGTGAACCAATCTTTATCATGATGGTTGCAAAATAATGAAGTTAATAATAAAGTTGGATTTTCCAACTCTAACACCCCTACTATATTTATTAGTTGGTACTCAACATTCTACTGTAATCGACAGTCCTCCCTTTTCTCTTGTTTATTTATTATTATGGGTATGAACTCCGGATTCCTGTTTTCCAAGTTTAAAAATAGTAAGCTGACCTTTAAAAGTATTTTTCTCTACTTGTTCTATTTTTAAAATCTACTTATTGTTGTGCTAGTACCACATGCACTTTGTTCTTTCTCAAGACAGAGTCTATCGTTTAGAGTCTGGAAAGATAAATCTTGACCCTATTACGTATTATTCTGGATGAATTTTAGAACCACTTTTACAAAATTATACCCCCCATGCCTTTTCTACTCATGGCTCTCCTCAACGCTGGTGGAATATGGCATTGTGTTGAACCTACAAATTAACTTAGAAATAACAGGGAATTTTGTGGTATGCAGTCTCTTCATCAGCAACAGGTCTGCTCTCCATTTATTAAAGTTTTAATCTGACCAACATTTCTAATGGGCATATCTTCTGTAATACGCATAGGGTACATGGATGTGCTATTGGCTTGTAAGATTCTAGAATGATCTTAAACTTTTACAAGAATATCACTATGGTGTTGAAGTCAACCGAGAGAAAATCAAACAATCAAGGAAATAAAAAGATGAAGATGAAGAAGATTCTATGTTCATTTCATCCATTTACCAAATAAGCCTTCTGGAAGTTCTAGATGTCATTTGCCAGGCACTGTACTAGACATGGGGATGCAGAAGGGAAACCAGAACAGAGAAAAGCAAATAAAATAACTAGGTGGATCAAATAATAGTAGAAAGCCCTGCTTAACACAGCAGGTAGTAAAGTGCTTGTTGGAATATTATCAATAGTTTGATGAGATTTAATGTTGTATGATTAATTCATAATTTGTTAATTTACAGTCTAGAAAAACTGTACACAAAAAGGAAATGCCAGTATATCATACATTAAAGAAAATTCTCTTGAGAAAAATATAATTTAAAATCTGGAGACTTTTCCTCAGAGCTCCACTCTATATTCTGCCCCATGGGACAGAACTACCTGGAAAAGGCAGGGACTTCCATGGCATCAACTGAAAGCATGCAGACCTTGGCTTTCTGTGTTCTGCAATAAGCAATTATCAGACACCAGTGAAAACTACAAATGGGTTCAACGTGCATGCTGCTCCCTTCTTTAGCCTTTAACAGCTTCTCAGCATCTCTTAGGAGTCTGTCATCTCTGTTTAGAAACGTCAGTTTGTGTTACTAGAAGCACTGGCAGAATCAGAGACCCTGGAATGTGCCCTAGATCACTGTCTACAGATTAGGCTTGAACCCTCAGATGCAAGCTTCATTCATAGCGGGGAGAAATGGCTGGCACAACTGCTCTGCAGTGCTAATTCTAGCTCTAGGCTCTATCTGTAGTTTAAAGAGATGTTCCCAGGCCATCATTTATTTCTCCTTCCTTTTCTTCATCCTTCCTTCCCACAAGGAAGTATTGGGAAACATGACCTCAAGTATTTTCCTAACTCCTGAATTTAAGTCTTTAGTAAACAAGAATTCAATGAACACTTGTCATGTCCAACTCCTTCTGGATAAATGGGAGGGAATACATTTAAGTAAACTAAAGTGGAACCGAAGAATTACAGTTCCAGTTTCAAATCAGCCACTCGCAAAAGCCTCCAGTCGATCTCCCTTTCTTCCTTCCCGTCTTTTTTTTTTTTTTTTGAGAGAGGGTCAAAGGCGTGCCACCAAGTCTGTCTTTCCTCTCTTTTAAAAGGTGGTTTGATTTGCCATAAAAGACACACATTTGACATTTTTGAAGAATACATTCTCTTCTCTATTTTTTTTGAGCTCACAAGGAGGGGTCAAGGTCGGGGGGTGGGTGACCCCTGGGGATGTGTACATGTGAGGCCACCAAGGAGTGTGGAGAAATACATTTTTTTTTTGGTGGGATTTAATATTTCTCAATGATTAGATCCAGGTTATGCATTCTCAACTGGGAAATTACATAAGTAATGTTATGCTTTAAGGGCAACACGACGTTCAGACACTTTTCTGCTTAATGATAAGAGAAAAGGATCACTAGAGGATTTCTTAAAGTTGGCCAGATCAACCTAATCAGGTTGATTAGGTCAACCTAATTTATCAAGTAAAGAAGAGAAATGACTCATCCATGGATATTCTTCCTAGGTCTGCCTGTCCATGAAGAGACACGCAGAAGTCAAGGGTGCCTCTCTGTCCTGTCCAATGTACCTTACCACTTTGTTAGGTGGAGAGAAAATTGGAACATCGTCCTTAAAAAGCTGCAATAACTCTCTTTAATGTTTGAATCAATCCTTAGATGACTCAGCAGTTTTGGCTTATATGACTTCTTTGATATTCCGGAAACTGTCTTTTAAGAATTTGTCTTCTTAAAGAAAGTTTCAAGAAGGCCATGTGAAAACAAAGGCAGCCACAAGCCAAGGAAAGCCTGGAGCCCCCAAAAGCTGGGAGGCAAAAAGAATCCTCCCCTAGAGCCTTCAGACGTAGCTCTGTAGTACTAATAAGGAAACATTTCCAAGATTAAAAAAAAAAAAAGTTTCACATGTTTTACTGCTCAGAGCTATTTCCAGGTCTAAACAATATCTGTTAGGCCCAGGACCCTTGCTCAAGTCTAATTTTGGAGTTTGTTGAGAGGGTAATTTGACCATCTTGACCAGCAGCCTGGAGTGAAAGGGCAAATGTTTTCCTTATTTTTAATTTATCCTCAACAGCACTCAGCCCCCCCAATACATACTCAACCCTTTTCCCCTCTGAGGATGGTGAAGACAGCCCTGAAAAATATGCAATTTCACTCAAATATAAATAGGAATGGCATCACCCAGAGTTCTGCAGTCCAGTAGGTGAATTGGCCCACCCTCATTCAAGCTCTAGCAATCTTCTTTCAACTGTCTTCCTGGCTCAGGTGATGGGAGAAGAGGGAAGTGGAGAACTTAAAGGACACAATGCACACTTTCTTTTCTTTTGGATACATGGGAGAAACTGCCTCCCAGAAAATTTGTCTATGCCATGTCTTTGGGTATGACACAGGGGAGGGGGATTCATCTCTCCCCAAAGCTTAAGAGAGGGCTTATGCAGCAGCATTCACCAGAATGGCTAGGAAACTTGGGTGACTGGAAGCTGGAGTTCTTCTCAGAATGAATGACTTGGAGTGCAGAGGCAACCTTTAACTCTTAGTCTTACATTAGCCACTCATTAGATATCTGACTCAGAAAAGTTACACAATCTCTGAGTCTCAATGTTCTCATCTATGAAGCAAAGATAACAATTACCTGGCAGGGTGATTGAGGATTAAATGAGAGACCATGTGTGAAACATCTGACAGTGGGTGTTCAATAAATGCCATGTAGTTTTGACTCAAAACTTCAAGTATTAAGGGAGAGTGGCCCTGATGAGGCCTGGGAAGGAGGATTCATTGATTACTAAGTCAACCATTAGGAATCTGCTGGTGCAATGTCATCCTATACTCAAGATTATCCATCTCCACACCAGTTTCTCTGGAGTTGTACTAAAACATTCAGCCATAAAAAGAAAATAACAATCTTGATCTATCCCAGTTTGTAAAAACAGAAACTAAGTTAATGGATAAAACTTTCTTCATTCTCAATTTTTCCTCTCAGTACTCTTTCTTAAACCTTTGAAACTTGGTGCAGATGCAGGACAACCCTAACTTAAAAACTTTAGGCAAGATTGACAGCTTGTTTCACTTGTGATTGTATTATTGATTTGAGATACTAAAGTAACACATTCCTAAAGCAACCTAAAAGAATTCATTATTTATGTGTGAGGCCAATCACAGTTCATAACAGACAAAAACAAATACACTCAACATTTTACAGCATTCTTCAAAGGAAATCATGATTCCCAGGATAGAAGAATATAGGAAAGTGTCCAGTGCCCCAATTTTAGGCTTTGCCAGCCACTTCTTTGGTGAGACTCCAAATAAGTCCTAGACTTGCACTCTGCTTGTTTTCTCAATTATAACACTGGGTTGATGATATCTAACATTTGCAGTTTTACAAGATGCTAAGCATTTTCCTGAGAGCACCCTGACATGAACATAAAAACACCTTAAAATTTAAAATACTATACACATATAAAACATCACTATTACTACATTTGTACAGAATTTTCTCCAATTTGAATTGTTTCAGGGAGATGACCAATTAACTGGCCTGAGTTCCACAAATGATTTGCCTGTCTACGTCATGTTGTTTTAGGTCAGTATTTCTTAATCTCAGCTTATTAGCCCCTCTTCAAATGGGAGTTAAATATTTAACTGGGGAGCTTTAAAAACCACTAATGACTGGGTCTCCTACTCTCTCCTGCCCCCCAATTCCAAGAATATTGGATTGGGGATTTTAAAAGCTCTTCTGTGGGGATCTAACATGCAGCCAGTGTGGAGAACTACTGTGTTAGGTAAGAGTAAGACTTGCCTTTGTAAGCCACTGTGAAAATTCCCTGTGCCTGACATGCCCCCTTCTTGTGTCCCCTTGTGTTTGGGTGGACCTTGTCATAAATACTTATCTCAATGACTCCTGGACCACAGAAACTTGGGCCTCTCTTTATGGCTAAGTGGTGTCTAAAAATGGGCTTTGGATCATTAAATCACAAAATCACACCTTCTTCCCATGGCAGGCATCCTCGTTGGTTACTGGCTAAAGAAAATTACCATGTGAGCAGGGAGATGCTGCCTGTCCCAATATTATAGATCTTTCTTTATTTGCTTTCTATCAGTGCTTTTTTTTTGCCTACTTCCTCAGCTTTGATTTATGTTTTCCTAAATATCTATTTCTTCTGTTCTGTCATTGATATTTTAGCAGTAGGCTGGCTGTTATTAGCAACGTGCCAAACTCTGTTTGAGGAGGGGGAGATAAGCACACCATTACCCCACAAAGTAGGGCATCAGATTCCGTGCTTCTGCAGTTAGCAGAAAAAAAGGGACAGTCAGCCAACAGCTCCAATGCCATCTTTGCTTCATCATTTAAACAAACCACTATTTTAGATAAGGAAATTTACGTTGGATTCTCAAGACAGCCATTTATTATTATTCATTTTGACACAGTCTCGTTAATATAGCCATCCGTGCATCTTTGTCAGGACTCTTGTGATGGAGTGTTTAGTTAGTTCCTTTTGAAATCAAGCAGATTTGGTGCAGTGTCAAAAACTGATGGATGTCTTATCCTCATTTGTTCAAACAACAAACTTTCTAAATGACCTAAAATATACTTGGTGCTCATATAGTCTGCTTTTGGAGAATCAAAATCACAACTCTCACTCTCCAGTCAAATCCAAAAACCAACAATTACGCACCTACTATGCCAAGACTCTTTGTCCAGTTGAGTTAAAATCATTTGTTTGCTTTTGTGGTGCTAAGGACCGCATTCGCTGAAATTAATATGGCCTGTCTAACTTGAACAGGCCACCTCATTAATCTAAAAAGAATAAAACATGTGACATGGACTGCTATTGTTTGCAAACATTTAAAAGCAGAAAAGCAAACGATGAAATTGAGGCTGGCAACCCTGCATGCTCAGGACTGGCTGTTTTCTGGAGGGGATAATGACACTGAGTCCTCTTATTCCAGGGAATCCTAGGTAATTGCTGGAGGCAAAGTCTGAATGACAGTCTTCATTTGTCTGGTGGGACATGCTTTGAGAGACCACTATCATTTATGGGGCCAAGCTGGTGGATGAGGTGTTCTAGCAGAAATAGCAATAAAACTGAAAACTGAAGAACTGTCTGTTGTTATAGTAAAGTCAACTTTAAGAAAAGTCCCTGAAGAGAGTAGAAGCTTTATCTATCACTACTAAAATAAACTCTCATGTGAAGAACTTCTTCCCATAGAGAAAACAGGTAGCCATGAAGTAACACATGATTATAAAGCTATTGAAGATGTTTGCCCAAGGTGGCCTCATAGCATAGTGAGTTGCTTCTGTCTGCCTGTCTTCACTCTCTTGGTTCAGCAGTTCAGTAAGTTATCAGCAACATGCCCTACCTCATCACGAAAGTGCTCCATTATAAAACTGTTCATAAAAGCATGATAAGCAGTAACATGATAAGTACCATAATAGAAACATAACATTCTTCTTGCCATAGTTCCTGCAAAAGTGGGGAAAACTTCCCAAGTGGTGACCTTCAGGCAAAACAGGCAGTAAAAGGCATTTTTAGAATCACACACATCCTACCAAGGGAAAAGAATCAGCCATAGAAAAATAATGTAGCTAGTAGAAGCACATCACACTCCAGGCTAGAAGACAAGTTTGCAAGACTCAGTGCCACAGGAAGCCCACACTGTGTTTCTACTCTGACAAAAATGAGGAATAACACCAACATTTAAAGGTATTCATCCCAGAGGTCCAAATAACAGGTTCAGAGTCAGCAATCTGAACACTGCTCTTTCCTCCCATCATGGGTTTTCACTGTGACACAGCCAACAGTCTCTCTTTGGGCAACGATTTAGGGCGTAGGTTCAATTTTGCTGGAATCAGGAGAGACTTCACTCTGACACACTCTTTCTCAAAGAGGGGTTTTTTGATTAGTACAACAAAATAAGCTACTGGATGTAAGGCAAGTAATCCTACAGACTAACGGAATTCATTCTGCATATGAGGAACCCTAAGTACGAACTCAGCTTCCGTGTGTTTGACTGTATTCTAATACTCTTTACACTAGAAAAACAGGCCATAGTTCTATACACATTTCTCCATATGTCCTGAAACATGGTCAGGTCCCATCTGCAAATTTACCTTTGGAAATTAGCTGTAAAGGTCATCCTTATATTCTACCCCTTGAGGAAAGTTGAAAAGCAGATTTGTACCTCACCATTAGACTGCAAAAGCACTACTGACTCAAAAGCACTACTGATTCTGAAATGCTTAATATTCTTGTAAAGTATATCCTTATACTTGCTGTAAGAAATATTTTCATTTACAACTTAATGTTTGTGACAGCTGGCATCATCCAATTTACCCATGCCAGGGGCCACTGTGGAAATAGGACTAATTAACATTTGCATTTCAGCTTCGGCTACCCTAGCAGGTAGGAAAAAGGTCTTGGAGAGGAAGGATGACCAGTAGTCTAAGTAGTGTAAGGGATACTCTTGAAAGTATTCCTTAATCTGTTGGCCTCTATAAGACTTAGAGAATTATCCAAGGTTCAGTATTTCCATATTTTATTCCTAATAGCTAGTACCAAGTATGCTGGAACAAATGTCTAATTTGAATGAAGTTTAATTACAAAAAGGTTCTCCATTTCAAGACAAAATCTAAAACAGTAAATCAAACTCAAGCTCAACTCAGGCCCAAGACAGCTCCACTGCTGAGAAGTGAATTGCCACCGTATCTGTCCAGTGGTCAGCACTGCTCAAGAGCAGACTTCTAGTACTGCCTGGGATCCAGAGAGTTGAGCAGGAGAGTACTGGGACCATGTACTCCCTATCTATAGTAGGCAGACTTCCATTTCCGAGCTGAACATTTGAGGACAGATGCTGAGGCAAAATGTTTGTGCTGTAGCCAGAAATAGTAACCCTAAGGTTCTTGGGAAATCACATTTTGTAGTGTTGGACTAGGCAGACTGGTTTAGGTATTCCACAACTGGAGAGAAGGACACAGTTCGTCTGGGCCACTCAGTTTGCCAGAATGGAGTCTGGATCCTCTTCAAAGGATATGTACCTGTAGAAGCTGCTGGCAGTGGGGACTGGTTGGGGTTGGGGGGTGAGAGTGAAAGTTTTGTTCCCTGATTCTAGAAGACAGGGATCATACTTGTAATCCTGGAAGGTGATCAGAAATGCTATTTTAAAACTCAAAAACAGATCCACAGACCACCGACTATAGTGAAAGAAGATGGTAAGTTTGGGGCAGGCTCTTTAAGTGCAGAAGGTTGCCTGCCTTCGTCAAAAAATCTTATGTCTGGGCAACTGGCTACCTTCATATACTGATTCCTTTTTCACAAATAATGCAGGTAAAAGATTTTATGTTCTCCCAGAAATAACTGTCCATTTGTCTCGCAAGATAACAGCTCACTGACAATGCACCTAAGTTAGTCAAGAGCTCTGATGAAGATGTACAAGAATAATGTTGTTTCCATGCCTAACACATCTATTCTGTAGTCCATGCATAAACGTGTAATTGTGACTTTCAAACTCTAATTATTTAAGAAATATGTTTTGTAAGGTTACAGTTGCCATAGTCCTTAATATATGAAGTTGCCATAATCCTTCAGGAAAGGATTCACCATTTTAGATGCCATTAAGAACATTCATGATTCATGGGAGAAAGTAAAAATATCAACATTAACAGGTGTTTGGAAGTTGATTCCAACTCTCATGAGTGGCTCTGAGGGGTTCAAGGCTCCAGTGGAGGAATGAACTGCAGAAGTGGAGCCTGAAGATGTGACTGAATTGCTGCCATCTCATGCTAAAACTTGAACAGATAAGGAGGTGCTTCTTATGGATGAGTAAAAGTGGTTTCTTCTTATGGATGAGTAAAGAAAGAGGTTTCTTGAGATTGGATCTACTTATGGTGGAGATGCTGTGAACACTGTTGAAATGACAACAAAGATTTAGAAAATTCCATAAATTTAGTTGTAAGGCAGTAGCAGGGTATGAGAGGATTGACTCAAACTCTGAAAGAAGTTCTACTGTGGGCAAAATGCTATCAAGCAGCATTCCATGCTACAGGGAAATCTTTTGTGAAAGGAAGAGTCAATCAAGTGGCAAAGTCCATTGCCTTATGCTAAGAAACTGCCACAGCCACCCAACCTTCCAGAAACTACCACCCTGATCAGTCAGCAGCCATCAACTTTGAGGCAAGACCCTCTACCACTAAAAAGATTACAACTTGCTAAGGGCTCAGAAGATCTTTGGCATTTTCTGACAATATTTTAAAATTAAGGTATGTATATTTTTAAAGATACAATGCTATTGAAACACACTATAGACTACAGTACAGTATAACTTCTATATGCATCAGGAAACTAAAAATTCTGTGATTTGCTTTATTGTGATATTTGCTTTATTGCCGTGGTCTGAAACCAAACCCACAATATCTCTAAGGTATGTCCGTATAAGTTCCTAAGCATAGTATGGGGGCATATCTAATGTGTACCATTTTAAGTAGTGGCTATTCTTGAATTTACACTTTCACATGAATTTTAGAATCAGTTTGACTAGCTCTAAGTCCTATTGAGAGTTTTAAAACAGGATTCAAATGAATTCTTTACAATATAACCTTCCCATTCATGGCCATGATATTCTGCTCCATTATTGAAGTTTTCTTATCTATCTTTCAAAAAAGAACATAAGACTCTAGCATATTTCTTGTTAGGCTTTCCCTAGGTGATTTTTAATTGCTATTATAAATAAATATCCATTTTTCCCATAAAATATTGCTATATGTTAGTGTATTAATCTTGTACTGTTACCTTTTTCAACTCTATTGGTTCTGATAGCTTGTCAGTTGTCTACCTTTCATCTTCTAGGTAAATATTTCTTACAAATAATGAGATTTGCTCCTACTTTCCAATTTATCTCATTACTTTTACTTGTCTTACTGCACTGGCTAGGACACCCAAGAATACTGTTGAAGAGAAGTTGTAGAGGGTATCCTTGTTTGATCCCTGAAAAGAATTCTTCTAGCATTTTACCCTTGTATATGATGATTACTAGAGATAAACTTTTAACAAGTTAACAAATTTCTAGTTTGATATTTTTTTTTAACCAAATATGGTGTGGTGGTTTTAAATGTAATCTACTCCAGTTAAAGACTATGACACTCTATTATTATCACTAATCAAACTCATGAATAATGAACAGTACATAAAAAATAATGTTATGTTTTACTTTAGCACCCAGGAAGCTCAAAACCAAACTATCTGAATATAACAACTCTGCACAGCATAGCCTGCTCATCTATATGACATTGACACTATTCCCTCCCCCAAAATACCACCTATTCTAATTTATATTATCCTAAATATTTTTCTCTTATTTTTCTATTTTATTGAGTGGATTTCCTATCAATTGCCATACATTTTTAATGGAATAAGATAAAGTATAAATAAAAACTTTAAAAAAACGTGGCTACCTTTGGATTTGAAGTGAAAAACGTGATATAACCAGGACAGTATAGCACATGGAAATCTAACACTATGACTAACAAACGTATTGGGTGATGTGAATTAAGAATCTGGTTCAGAGGAAATCAAGTATTTAAACTGAGGTCTGCTTATACACATGGTTAAGCTTATTTGTCATGACTAGCCATTAGTAAATACATGTTAATTTCATACAATTAAAAAGAAACCCACAAACCATTAGCATTTTGATTAATACATGATTAATAAAAGTTTGCTGAACATACAATCTTAGATCATTATAAATTCTTTTTGAAAGGTAGACTGGGTGCAGTGGCTCACGCCTGTAATCCTGACACTTTGGGAGGCCATGGAAGGTAAAAAGCTTGAACTCAGAAGTTCAAGACCACCCTGGGCAACATAGTGGGATTCTATTTTTACAAAAAAATACAAATATTAGCCAGGCATGGTGGTGGGCACCTATAGTCCCAGATACATGGGAGGCTGAGGTGGAAGGATCACTTGAGCTCAGAAGGTCGTGGCTGCAGTGAGCCAAGATCGCACCACTGCACTGCACTCCAGCCTGGGCAACACAGCAAAACCCTGCCTAAACAGAACAAAACAAAACAAAACCAAAACACACTGATCTTATAATTGAGTGATAAAACTAAAAAGTAATCACCTCTCCCAACAAAAATGTAAACAGGACCGATAATTTATGATTTTATTGTCTTTCCTTTGTCCGGCCTTTAACATGTTTCTGTAATTTAAATAAAAATCTATTTACTTTCTCCATTTTAGCAAATGGTTTCTTTACCCAAATAGGTTGCACTATAGTCCCCATATGGTTTTCTACTGTTCCACAACCACTATTTCACAAAGATTGACAAAACTTTAATAAAAGTTAAATTTACAGACATCTTAAGATAACTTGGGAAATATGTAGTAAAAAAGAATCGAGTCCACAAATTAAGAATATTTTGCTAATATGCCCAACACCAATTTCAGCAAATCCAATCTACTTAACTCATATATTTAATGTGGTAATTTTTCTAACAAAATTTAATGGGGGTATGAATGATATATTTATGCCCTTGACAAAGATGACATGTGTGATTTTGTTGTGACTAAGAAAGGAGAGTATGATTTCTGGTGGTTATGATATCACTCTGGCTCATCGAAGCTCACAGAATATGTAAGGTTCTGCCACGTCCAAAGATGTTAGGCAAATGTAATAGAAGGCGCACCGGGCTGACACACGTTTTCATCATACAAATCTTCTGGCAGTTCCTCTTCATCTCCATCAGGAAAATATGTAGGGAATGGTAGATTTTTACCGAGATCCTTATATGCAGGCAGTTTAGAATCTTTGACCTGAGAGAAGGCAAAAATCTTAGTGAAACCAATTAAGTTCTTTAAAGGTAGACTTTTCAGCTATTATTCATAATCAAAGAAATACTCGCTACTACATTTTCTAATGTGAATAACACAACTGTTACATAAATAGAGTAAAAAGAACTCAGTCAATGCTTTCCTTTAATTCTAAAAAATTTGACTAATCCAGTAACAGAAACTCAAGAAGCTATAAGGATAAAATCACCAATTGTTACTTTGTATCTTAACTTGTAAGAATCTCTAGGATTGCCCACAGGATGAAATCACATTCTAAAATTACTACTTGAATTTCATTTATATGGATTCATTTTCAAATATAATGACCTGACAAACTAGCATTTTTGTTAGTCTTAACTCTAAGAGCACATAATCAAAAATATCACCTCTTATTAAGGAAATCAGCTTACATTTTTCTTCCCCTACCAAAAGAGTCATTTCTCCAACAAATAAAACAAACAAGATTGTATTTCTATGTCACATGGTCAAAAAAAAAAAAAAGTCCTGTATTGACGGAAAATTTAAAGTTAATTCTTCAGCATTTTCAAATTTGGGTAAGGGCCTTTAAGTTGAGACTATTTTATATCATTCTTGATTTAGCACTGAATACTTCCATGGCCTTAGTGCATTTTTCTGCTTATAGGTGTGAGCAACAAGAACCAATCCTATCTTCATATACAACAAATGCAGCACAATGTATGTCAGAGCATACATTCTTATTGATAAGTTAAAGACAGAATAATATTTAGCAAAAACAATAACAGACCTATGGGTCTTTATAAGAGCTCTGTTAACTCTATATATTCTCAAAAATTCTAATTATATCTGTGAATTCACAGACTGAAGAATTTTAATATAGGTACTGATGTGATCTAAAATGTTGAGTTTTATTTTTGGAAAACATTATTGGATTCTTCAGAACTTCTGACTCATTCTACAGCCTTCATTCATAAGTAAAGTTTTTAAAAAAATTACATGTAATTATATACACGAGTAAAATGAGGCATAATTACTTTAGCAATAAGAAATGAATAATTTGGTTGAAATAAAGTACACAGCTGCTAGGAACAGCTTAGTACAGAAAAACAGATCTACTTTAATCCCTCTTATTAAAATTGTTTCAAGAAATTATCAGTAAATTACCCAGAAGAAAGTAAACTTGTTTAGTTTTGTCCCCCCAATCCATTAATCTTAGGTTGAACTTTAAGAAGGGAAAAAGTCATATTCTTACCAATTTAAACTTGCTCAGTATTTAGGATTGAAAATAAAACCCAAGCAAAAAAAACAATAAAACCAATCACAACAAAACTTTCTGTGCTAATTTGAGAAATAAAAATTTAGTCATCAATGACCCAAAGAGATAACTCTCAGTTGCTTTCACACTTTTATAGAACTATTATACCTGAGAAATATTTTAGACGACGGAATCACTGTTTGTAAAATCTAAGTATTATAATTCATGGATCTGAAACGTAAATGACATCTCAACCATTTTTGTCTTAGTGGTGCAAAAGTTGAGGGCCAAAGGTCTGCAGCCCATATGTATTTTTGTGTATTTAATCTTACCTCAGGTTTATTATTTCCCTGCCTGCACCAAGACTCCCTCAATTATCTACCTCATTCTTTTTATGTCTATCAGCAAACCAGTCTAAATCTTTTAAGAAAATGTGGGGGAAGGACAGACAAAAGCCAGGCAAATCTGAAAATAAATGATATATAGGACACAGGAATGAACACGAATGAACCGTACTTTAGAACATACATTTATACTTATTATGCTGTAAACAATAGTTCTTTAGTCTTCATTAATACATTTAGTGAATCCAAACAGCAAAACAAAAAGCTAATGCCAATTAAATAGGTTGGTCATCTCTAAGACTATCTTTACTAACTTTGGAATCTTAAAAAAAAGTTATTGGTAACCCTGTACTCTGAGGAAACAAAAGCTCCCAAGAAGTGAGTGGATGTTAACAAAGTTGGCTGCCCACTAGGAAGTGGCTCAAAACCCATAGGCAAGGAAGGACTAATTTACCTGCTACGGAGTCACTGGAAGAACGTAAATAATGGAGTGAAAGGACATAGCAAGTTTTACCATTTAAAACACAAACCTATAAAATGTTCCCCAAATTCATACCTTAATTAATGCCTGGGCAGATACTTTAAGGTTACAAAAGAAAGTTATTTAAGCACCATATTTCAAAGATTTTTTTAAAGGACGTGTTTATTATACAAATATACTTGCTGGAAATATATTCACTAGTGTGTTAATAGTTCAAAAGGGACTAGACATTGTTCTGATGCCAGTTTCTCAAAATGTATTTAGACTCCCGTTTCAGAACTCTTTGGTGTATCTTCTGAGTATCTTCAGTGATGGCAAACTATTATCGATTGAGAGTGAATAGAGTTTTTGGAAGTAATCTTTTACTGAAGTAGGCGATAAATCTGAGTAATAAATGTTACTGGTTATCAACTATTTATACAACTACATCAGAATGTCATTGTATGTACTACAGTTTTTCAAGATAATTGACCATTCATCTCTGCTGGTAACAGGGATATTGTAGAAGTACTTGAGAAGATGTTGTAGTAGTACTTGAGAAGTCACAGCAATTAATGGTAAGGTTCAGCTAGAAAACCAGCCTAGAATCATGTATGTAGAAAAATAGGCAGAAAAGGAGGATTTGACATTTAAAAATTAATCTGGTGTCCAGTATACTTTTATTATAAAAAATAATCCTTCTCCTTTATCAGGTTGTGCTATTTATAACCTGTGATCTGAAATGTGGGGCTAGGGATATGAAGATATGTCTTCACATGAATTATGAAGACAAAATACCACGGGAAGTACAATGACAATACTCTGGCTTCAACTATCTGTCATTGTAAGTATGACTGCCTTACTTGGGGACTAGAAACCTACTTAAACTTAAAAACCTGCAAACTTAAGGAAAAAACAAAACTTACAAAAATTCATCAAATACATTTTTCTTTTTCTCTCTTTTTTTTTTTTTTTTGTTTTTTTAAGCAAGGTCCCACTCTGTTGCCCAGGCTAGAAGGCAATAGTGTGATCACAGCTCACTGCAGCCTCCAACTCCTGAGGCCACGTGATCCTATCCTCCCACTTCAGCCTCCTGAGTAGCTGGAATTACAGATGCAAGCCACCAGGCCTGGCTTAAATGCATTTTTTTCTTTAACAAAAATGAGAATAATCCAGTCAGTAAGTGAAGTGTCTCAGAAAGGTAATTTTAAAAAGCAAAATTCTTATTCCTTGCAAGATTTCAAAAAATTATTCCCTATGCTAGTAATGGAACCTAGAAATGAAAAAAAATATATAAGGAAACACTGAGTTTAAAAAATCAGAGGATTAAGTTTCACTATTTCTTTGCTGCTATCATTGGAAAATCAATGAAGAGTATACTCTGGAGAACAGCTGACATAACTTCTAATACAAACTTATTTTCAGCATGGAAGATTCAAAACTCAGAGGTAAGAAAATTTGTATTAGGTTGGAATAAACCCCAGGCAGAATATTTATTTTCTATTTTATGGAAGTAAGTCTCTGAGAACTTAAAGAGTTTTTATTAAAATGTATCTGAGCTATCGGTACAAATTTTTTACTTTTTTCTTTTTTTTAAGAAAAACACTTAAAAGATATAATCAGAGCATGGTGTTAGTAATAATAAAAAAGCTCCCCCTCAAATGTCTACCTTTAACCACTTTTGATGATTCCAATTTTTACCTCATGTATTTCTGGTTTGTCAAAGTAACTCTTTTAAAAGCCAAAAAGCATTTTTTTTGGGGGGGGGTGGGGGCAGGGTTTACTTATAATTGACACATAATTGTACATATATATGTATGGTGTGATGTCTCAATAAATATACATTGTATAATGATAAAATCAGGATAACTAGCATATCCATTACTTTAAACATGTATCATTTCTTTTATGGTGATAACATTCAAAATCCTCTCTTCTACCTATATTGAAATATACCTTACTATTAGCTATAGTCAGTCACCCTACTATATAACAGAATACCGGAATGTATTCTTCCTAACTAACTCTGTGCTTGTAGACCACCTCCGCCAGCTCTCCTCCCCACTATTTTCCCCCAGCCTCTGGTAAAACCATTCTGTTCTCTACTTCTATGAAATCAACTTTTAGATTCTACATAAAAGTGAGATCATGCAATATTTGTCTTTCTGTGCCTAGCTTATTACACTTAACATAATGTCCTCCAGGTTTATCCATGTCACCACAAACAATAGCAATTCATTCTGTTTATGGCTGAAGATTATTCTAGCGTGTGTGTGCATTCTCTAGAATATTCTTCAGCCATACGCGCGCACACACACACACATACACACACACACACACACCCACCACATCTTCTTTATCCATTCATTTGTAGATGGGGCACTTTAAAAAGCTAACATGTTCCTTTTGGAAGGACAGAGATATACTGGTATTTTGGCAATAGTTTTCCAAATATCCTTCTCATATTCCTGAAGATCTTTCTGCTTACTGGCCTGATATGGTTTGGATTTTTGTCCCCGCCCAAATCTCATGTCAAATTGTAATCCCCAATGTTAGAAGAGGGGCCTGGTGGGAAGTGATTGGATCATGGGGGCAGACTTCCCCCTTGCTGTTCTCGTGATAGTGAGTTCTCACAAGATCTTGTTTAAAAATGTGTAGCACCTCCCCCTTCCCTCTCTTCCTCCTGCTCCAGCCATGTAAGACATGTCCATCTCTCCTTCCCCTTTTGCCATGATTGTAAGTTTCCTGAGGCCTCCCTAGCCATGCTTCCTGAACAGCCTGTGGAACCACGAGCCAATTAAACCTCTTTTATTTATAAATTACCCAATCTTAGGTATTTCTTTATAGGAGTCCATCCATTCTATTAGGATGGACTAATACACAGCCTTACCCTTTTTACAGGTTCTTGGTTTGAAAGAAATAGAATACAGGTTATCTTGTGCATTTTTTTCACTCAGGTGCTACTAAAAAGCAGAAAGATTCAGGAGAGAACATGTGGAAAAACAGCCATTTATTTATAAGCCACATATATGAGAAAAAGGAGACTTTATGGCAAATATCCACATATATAAACAATAGAAAATAAAGATAGTAATTTGTTAGCTTGCGAGTAAGAAACAAAAAAAAAAAAGGAAAAAAAAAGAAGACACTTATACTTACCTTTACTAAGCAATTTTTATGTCCAGGTACAGAGCCATTTACATAGATTATGTTGTGCTTTGTGTTTATTCTCCACACCTAAAGCATGAAATAAAACCAAAAATTTTAGGATATACTTGTATTAAAACAATGTTACTAAAAGCTGAGGATGTAAGTTGCTTGTAAAGTAATAAAAGATTATTACCAGTACTTCAGAATGTTGAATAAGAACTGAAAAACTTCAAGTCCTATGGATGACTTGTAATAGAAGACCATAGCAAATATATCTTATGGAAGTAGTAGAAAACTCTCATTTTAAATAGAGATGTGACTGAATGATCAAGACTATTTGGATATTTCAAAGGACTCTGTTGGCACCATTAACAATAACAAGTGGAAATTCAATTTTATTTTATTTTTAGTTAATACTAGCTTGCTGTAACTAGAGGCTGGAGAAGCCACAACCTCACTGATTCTAATTTCTAAAGTAAGTGGGCTGAGTAGATGGTCCTCAAAAAATCTTCATGTGGAGAAAAAACGTACATAAATGGGAGAGAATGATTGGTCAAAAAATGGTACTGAGAAAATAAAATATTTGGATAAGGAATCAAGTTTGACCCATGGCTCCTATCTAATAATGAATAAGTATTAAATATTACAAAAATTGAAATCACACACACGAAGAAAATACAGCAAATAGATGGTCTCTGATAAGTATAAATGTAATAGAAGGGGTAAAAAAAATCTTAGGTTTAATTATATAAAATTTGAAAACTTCTCCTGGTCAAAATTTATATATAAAAGGTATGCAGAATAGAGACTGGGAGGATATGCACCAAAATGTTTCCAGTGATTGTCTTTGGGTATTGTTCTTATTGGTGGCTTATTTTCTTCTTTGTACTTCCTACACTTTAAAACATACATGCAAACAAATATAAACATTAGTTGTTTAACAGAAATATAATTATACAGCATCCATTATAGTATAACTCAGTTTTACTTAGGTACATTTCTCATTGGTAGAGATTGAATTCAACTTCTCTTTTAAATATACACAGACATTTTTTATAAAAACGGATGTATATCATAATCCTTTTGTAGTGCTATTGTTTCCTCCTATTTTGATTGCCTCCCACTCTCCTCCTTACACTTACACACACACACGCACACACACACACACACATTTGATATATAATCCAAGAACCTGGTATATACCCTTCCACTCTTCTGTGATTATATGATGGCACAGCAACATACACACGTAGAGAGCTTTTGTTAAATCTTTTACTCAATAAAGAGTATTATACTGAATGCTCTGAATCTTACTTTTTTCATGCAACAATATCTTGTAAAAATCTTCCAGGTCCAAGAGTGGACTACTAATTTTGTCTCTTTAATGACTGCACTTTTCATGGCCTGAAATATACCCTATCATTACTACCACCATTACTACAACTAGAGTGTACACACACACACACACACACACACAATTCATGTATCCTCTTTTCCTCAATAATTTTAAAGCCTCTTAGAACAATGGTACAGACACAGATTAAATACATATTCTGCTGCCTTTGCATTTAGACAATTTAGCTGTTCCTAAAAAGAACCACTTGTAACACTTACTTTCAGTCCATATTCTGTCCTGTATATGTTTCCCATTTTTCCAGGCATTTTAGTTCCAGGCCAGACTCTGCCAATATCCTAAATGAGAAAACTAAAGTTAACACTTTTAAGTACTATCAATTTTAAACAGCACTGATCAAACCACAATGTAAACTAAAAATATAAATTATTAAAATGTTTTATTTTTCCCCTATTCTGCTAGGTCCCAAGTAAGGAACTAAATATGGATTTAGGCATATTTACTCCTAGAGGATTTCCTTTCTAATGAGACTAGAATGATAAAATAAATACAGACTAAGAAGCAGATTTAGGAGAAAAACTCAGCAACAACGGACCTAATACTGGCTAAGAATTAAAAAAGGACAAGGGCATACAGACACACCGACACCATCATTCAAAGAAAAAAAATGGACTGCCAGGCCTGTTTTGAACTCATCTTCTGTATTAACTGACTTAATGGACTTCATCCATACCACTGGTGCTGGAATGGTCCTACTGCTCCTTGCTTTAGATGTTACTTTCCTTGACCAAAATTATTCAAGGACAGAGTTAGTTATCAGAATACTAGTTTGTCTAGCCCTGGTTTTCTCTGATTTACATAAATCTAACAGTCTCTGATTTTGGCTCTGATAACGGGTAATAGTTCTACATCTAAAGAAGCAAATCTGAATTATGACTAAAATGGAACAGCTTCTTATAACACATGAATTCTCACAATATAAACACTTTTCCATCAGCTGCTCTCACATTAACAGGTGAAACTCTCAGTGGAAGTACCTCATCATGGCATTAGATATGTTTAATATGTAACCAACAGGCTTAAAAGACAATTCTGAGTATTACAGACTAAGTATCACTCTTATTCATTCTACAAATATATTCCGTTATATATGACTACAATGTTCCAGTAGACAGAACTAAGACACACACACACACACCCCTCTGTTTCTCTGTGTGCTACATTTTTTCCTTGTGTGCATGCATGCATTCCCCTCCCCCACCAAACAGTATATGCATACTTATAGTTTGAATTCAACACTATAGGGTTCATTTTAATTTTCCCATTTTCATACTTTAACGCCCTTTTCCAACAGTGAGAAACCTAGCTCCATTATCAATACATTTACTTATCTACTCAATCCTACAATTCACAGAAAATTATTTCAGAATTGTTAACTGATACTAATTCAAAAGACAAACTGAATTCAACATTTGCACAAAGTACATTTTAAATTTAGACTCAGGGTATATACAGCCAAACTACAGATGCTCAGCTAACCTTGTGGAATATAACTAATTCTAGTCTGGCTCTGGGAAATGAGTGAGGGGCAAGGATCCATAAAAGGGTGACAAGTACATGGAGTCCCCTTGTGTCAGACTAAAATTATGTGACTTCATATCAAGGACGGACTGAGGACTACATGTGCAGAAGTTGAATATTTAGCATTAAAAAGAGCTTCACTAGTTATACTCACACCAGTTGCAACAGCTCCAGGTCTCCTGTGGGTTTTCGTTTGACCATGCGTAGCAGGCTGGCCTTTAAATCCCCATCTTTTCATGACACCTTGAAAACCTTTACCAATACTGAACAAAACAAACGTTAGAATTTACATAATGAAAAGAGCATAGACCATTCCCAATTGTACACTTTCTAGTACCAACTGTACACATTCTTGTTAGAGTTTTAACAAAGCTTCTTATTTAAATAACTAGAAAAGGCTATACAACTAAAACTGCAAATAAATATTCCTTTATCTCTGTCTTGGTCTGCACCCCTTCCTGGAGTCTAATTCTATATAAAATGATTAATTCAAGATTGTGAGACACCAGCAAGCTAAGCACAGGGAATTTTATCTGAACAGGAGTTTTATCATCCTAATTCTGTGAAGATGACACAGTAAAAATGGAAAAGCTCTAGAAGTTTCAAAGTACTTATAGCAGATATGGCAAGCAGCCATTAAGATGGAACCCAAAGATCACCACCTCCTGGTACTCATGCTCCTGTTTAATTCCCTCCCCTTGAGTCTGGGTGAACCTAGTCCCTTGCTTCTAATAAATAAAATATGGCAAGAGTGATGAGATGTCACTTCTGAGATTTGGTTACAAAGAGACTGTAGCTTCCATCTTGGTACTCTCTTGCTTGCCAGGCTCTGAAGGAAGCCAACTTCCACAGCTAGTGTAAACTGTCCTATGGAGAGACATGCTGCAAGGATGTCTCCAGCTATTAACGAAGGACCTGAGGTCTGCCAATGGACTATTAGTAGGTATGGAGGCAGATTCTCCCCAATTAGAACCTTGACATGACTACAGCCCTGGCTGATGCTTGACTGCAGCTTTGGGAGAGACCCCAAGTCAGAGGCATCCAGGTAAGTTACAATGGGATTTCTGAGCACAGAAACTGAGGTAATAAATGTTTGTTATTTTAAGCTATTAAGTTTTAGGATAATGTGTTAGGCAGCAATAGGTACTAGTACAATAGAGGACTAAATAGAAAAAAATAATGCTCTAAATGCTGAACAAATTTTATCTTAGAAGATATCAGAAGGATCTTCATCTCAGGGTTGAGAAGAAACAAATGGAGAAATAAAATCAGAGAGTAACAATTTCTTACTAATCTAAAATCTCCTTTTAAAATGAAATCACTCTATTTTCAAATTCTGTTAACCCCATGATCCAGGTAGAAAGCAAACAACACTAAAGCTAAAGAATTATTAAAGTTTGTTTCTGAAATGCTCACTAAATTAGGTATAGAAAGTATGCAGCTTGAAACAACAAAGGCCATATATGACAAACATACTGATGTTATGCTTTCAGCTATTCCCCTAAGATCAGGAACAAGACAAGTATGCCCAATTTCACCACTTCCATTCAACACAGTGCTAGAAGTCTTAGAGCTATTAGGCAAGAGAAAGAAATAAAAGGTATCCAAATTGTAAAGGAAGAAGTTGTCCCATTTGCAGATGATATATCATATATAGGAAATCCTAGACTCCACCAAAAAAGTGTTAGAATAAATTCAGTAAAGTTGCAGGATATAAAATTAACATATACAAATTGGTAGTGTTTCTAAATACTAATAGTGAACTATCTGAAAAAAAAATCAAGAAAACAATTCCATTTCCAATAGCTACGAAAAAATAAATACCCAGGAATAAACTTAATAATGGAAGTGAAAGATTTCTACACTGAAAATGATAAAACATTGATGAAAGAAACTGCAGAGGATGTGGGTAAATGGAAAGCTATCTGCTGTTCATGAACTGGAAGAACTGCTAAAACGGCCATACTATACAAAGTGGTCTACAGATTTAATGCAACCTCTATCAAAATACCAATGACACTCTTCACAGAAATAGAAAAAATAATCCTAGAATTCATATGGAACCACAAAAGACACTGAATAGCCAAAGCAATCCTGAGTAAGAATAAAAAAGCTGGAGACATCATACTACTTGACTTCAAAACATACTACACAAAGCTATAGGAGCCAAAACAGCATGCTACTGGCATAAAAACAGACACACAGAACAACGGAACAGAACAGAGAGCCCAGAAATTCACACATCACGGGCAATTGATTTTTGACAAAGGTGGCAATACCACACACTGGGGAAACACAGTCTCTTCTATAAATGGTGCTGGAAAACTTGAATACCCACATGTAATGAGGTTAGACCCCTCTCTCTCACCATATGCAAAAATCAATTCAAAATGGATTAAAGACTTAATGAAAAAAAAAAAGTATGAAACTACTAGAAGAAAATGTAGGGGAAATGCTTCATAATACTGGGCTGGGCAAGTATTTTTAAATGAGACCTCAAAAGCACAGGCAACAAAAGAAAAGACACATTACATCAAACTCAAAAGCTTTTTGCACAGCAAAAGAAACAAAGCAAAGAGACAACCTACAGAATGGGAGAAAACATCTGCAAACTACATCTGACAAGAGATATCTAAAATATATACTAAAAGAACTGCAAAAAAACCTAAAATAACTGCAAAGGAACTCAAACAACTAAAAAAAAACCCCAAGTAATCCAATTAAAAAATGAGCAAAATATCTTAACACATTTCTCAAAAAGAGACAAAGAAATGGCCAAGTATATGAAAAATGTTCAAAACCACTAATTATCAGGGAAATGCAAATCAAAACCACAATGAGATACCATCTCATTCCAGTTAGAATGGCTACTGTCAAAAAGACAAAAGAAAACAAGCGTTGGTGAGAACGTGGATAAGAGAACACATACACTGTTAGTGGGGATATAAATTAGTATAGCCACTATGGAAAACAGTATGGAAGCATCCCTCAAAACATTAAAAATATGACGACCATATGATCCAGCAATCCCACTATGGGGTAGATATCCAAAGGACATGAAATCAACATGTTGAAGAGATATCTTGTATTTATTGAGCACCATTCACAATAGCCAAGATACAGAATCAACCTAAGTGTCCAATAACAGACAAAATAAAGGAAATGTGGCACATATACACATGGAATATGATTCTGTCATAAAAAATAAAATCCTGCCATCTGCAACAACATTAATGAAACTGGAGGACATTATGTTAAGTGAAATATACCAGACACAGAAAGACAAATAATGTATGATCTCACTTACATGTGGAATCTAAAAAATGTTGCTATCATAGAAGTAGAGAGTGCAACAGTGATTACCCAGAGACTGGGGAGAGGATGGGGATGGGAATGAGGAGGATGGGGAGAGGTTGGTTAATAGGTAGATAGAAGGAATAAGTTCTGGTGTTCTATGGTACACTAGGGTATCTATGGTTAACAGTAAATTATTATATATTACAAAACAGCTAGGAATGGTTTTGAATGCTCTTGCCACAAAAAAATGATAAATGCATGAAGTAACAGGTACCGTAACTACCCTAATTTGATCATTATACAATATACACACATATTAAAACATCAACTTGTACCCCATAAATACAACTGCAATGTGTCAATTAGAAATAAAATTTGTCTTTGATTATATCAGTATAAATGACACAATAAAAAGACTGGAAAAAATTCTCAGACTGTACTAGACTTTTTAATTTTTTTTTTTTTTTTTTTTTAAAGAGACAGGGTCTTACTCTGCCAACCACGCTGGAGTGCAGTGGTACAGTGATAACTCACTGCAGTCTTAAACTCCTGGGCTCAAGCAATCCTCCTGTCTCAACCTCATGAGTAGCTAGGACTACAGACTACAGGTGCATGCCACCACACTCAGCTAATTTTTAATTTTTTTTGGTAGAGAGAGGGATCTTGCTTTGTTGCTTAGGCTGGTCTCGAACTTCTAGCCTTGAGTGATCCTCCCACCTGGGCCTCCCAAAGTGTTGGGATTACAGGTGTGAGCCACCATGCCAGGCATGTGACATATTTTTACTCTTAAAATGAAGATTTTTCTCACCTTTTACTAGATAATACATCAACATATTTTTAACAGAGTGTTCCCTAACCCCACCAACGTTAGCTATTATTATATAGTGTACTGTTCAGGCCATTTACAAAGAGGACAAAAAGAAAAAGATTATAAAAACAAACTTATTTCCACAAGGACTTTGCTATGCATTCAGCAAACAATTAGCAATGGATTGAAGAAAGCCTATGTGAATAATACAGTTTGTTTTCAATACATCAAAAATCCACTCTAAAAATAAGGATAAGGCTGGGTCTGGTGGCACATGCCTGTAATCCCAGCACTTTGGGAAGTTGAGGTGGGAGGGCTGCTTGAGGTCAGGGGAGGCCAGCCTGGCCAACATAGTGAGACCTCAAACTTAAAAACAAAAATGATACATTACATGTATGACTTAACAGCTGAATACTATCAAATCATAGGTCAAAAGTCACTTTTATAAGAATAATTTAAACATAGCTTACATCACATTCTTCACATTAAGCCTGTGAACAGTGTGTATATAATTTTTTGGATGTGAAAACTCAAGATAATGTGTATACCTGATCAAAGAGCTAAAACATAACACATATTAAATAAAAACCCACTATTAATTATGTAAACTAACATCTAAGAAGAGAATAATCAAATATTTTATGCTTTAGAAATTTAACAAATGTTTCCACTTAACATTGAATTTTAGAACCTAATTGGAAAGTACAGTGCTTGGCAATTTAAAAATGAAAAGGAAATACCTAAAGAGTAATTTGAACTTACCATATCATTTGGCAAACAACACTTCAAAGAGAAAAGGAGACAGAGAGACTGGCAACACTAATCTAAATGAACATGTTACACTGGCCATTCTTGGTAGAAAGTTTACTGGTACTTCTGTGTTCTTAAAACTGATGATCTCTTACTTAAAAAGAGAGCATGAGTGCATGCACCAGTAGAACACATGCCAGGTGAACTACAGAAGATAACTTAGCTCATTTTAAGAGTAAATAATTATAAGATAAAAGTGGTATCCTGAAAGTGCTAATTATCTGTTGGCTAATTACAGATTGCTTTTCAATCTAGCTCTAGAATACATCATGTAGTTATACTCTGTACAATGAGAACCTCTTCAGTAACCTTTAAACAAAAGAACAAAACACAAATAACATGACAAATTATTGGCTGAATTCAGATTAGGGAGAACAGAGTGTACCTGTTGATCCATGGGAGGTACAGGTATTGATACTACTCTCAGTTGTCACTCAACTTGAGAACAAAAATAAAACAAAAGCAAGAAATGAACTAATCTATACTTAGTATAGCCAGACACATTTCAAGTAAAAGGTTTCCACAGGTCATATAAAATAAAATCTTCATTTTACTAAAAATAATATACAACATACTTTATATTTTATATCCCTTACCCATTTTCTGCTTAGTTTTTAATTAATGATAGCAGAAAAAAAATCAAATAGAGGAAAGCTTAAAGTGGAAAGAACATAGAGATCCCAATTTTAGTTAGATATATTTGAAAATTAAGAAGACATAAAAGATGTATTTTATTTAGAGTATCTATACTAAAATATAGAAATTCAGATGTATCATTTAATCTAGGAAACATTATTGTCCTTGCTTCTCAGTCCATTTCCCCTCAGTACACTTTCAGTGCACGAAGGGTAGAAACTGTGTATTATTTAGCTGTAGTGCCCAGTCTAGAGAAGCAGAGTAAAATTTGTTACTGGCTATAGCTGTGTCCAGGGAAGACAGGGGATTAAGTCTCCTTTCTTCTGTCCTACAGTTTCCAAGTATTGTATAATGGGCATGCCTTTTAGTTTGAAAAGATGGTTTGAAGAAAAGGGGAGAAGCTTAAAGGTATGGCTAATAATCCTGCAGAAGGGAATGCACAATTTAATGTTTCCCGCTGAATTCTATAAATCTCTAGAGATTCTTACTATGAGAATTGTATTCCCTTGCTATACTGTGACAAATGCCTACCAAGAGACACACAGGTTTTAATATAAATCCATCATGTATTTCTTTACTTTGTGAGAAACTGCCTTTCATTGCATGATTCTGGATATACTTGTCTATGGGGATAAAACGAAATGTCCATAAGGTGAAGAATGACCATATACCTGCTTTTAAACCCATCCATTCTGTGTCCTCTGAGAACTTCCTCTAAAATTCCCATCCCCTGAGTATCTCCCTTGAGAAGCCACTGGATTCTCCTACCTTCTTTTCCCTTCATATCCCTCCTCGTCTTTCACTGGAACACAAACTGCTTCTCCTTCTCTCATCAACCATCCACTCTCTGCAATCCATCTTCCTCTCCAATTACTCTTTGGATTTCACTCTGAGGTTAATCCCCAAATCCCAAATCCAAGTCTTTTACTAAAACAGTTTTTTATTATGGAAGTTTTACGGAATATTCAGGAGCAGAGAGATTAACTCAATAAATCCCTATGTATCCATCATCCAGTGTTGAACAATAATCAACTCAAGGCCTATTTATTTTTTTCATCTGTTCCTCTCCTCTGACAACTCCAATAGATTATTGTGAGGCAAACTCCAGATACCCTATCATTTCATTCACAAATATTTCAGTAGAGATCTCTAAAAGATAAGAATACTTTTGAAGAACAAAACCACAATACCATTATCACAACCTAAAAAATTTAGTAATTTCTTAACATCGGTGTTTAGATTTCTATAGGATCTTTTAAAATAGAATCTCTCCACAGGGTTTTCCTCTACCCCTTAACGTCCCGCTCCTTTCCATTGTCATCATTTCCTCCCTATTTTCCTGCTTCCCTAATGTTCTTTGAGAAATCTCTTTCCTCTTGCTGCCTCTGATTCTCTTCTCACTAAGGTTTAAAAGAGGGGTTGGCAAACTGGCCTGTGCTGGCCGTATGTTTTTGTAAATAAAGTTTTATTGGGATAGAGTCATGCACACTAATTTACATATTGCCTATCTCCAATTTAGAGCTGTAATGGCAGAATAAGTTAGTTCTCTCATGGGCAAGAGAGAACATAATGTCTGCAAACCTAAGATATTTACTTCCCATTCTTTGAGAAAAAGTTTTTAGACCCCTGAAGTTATTAGTAATAAGCTGGAGTTCCATAATCTTGCACTCTGGCAAGAATTTTGCCATGATCCCATTCTACAGATGTACCAACCATATCCAACTGGAAGTACCTCAGCCATTCACTTGCAGTGTTTAAGAAACAAACCAAACATCTCTCTTCCTTCAAGTTATCCTACCACAGGGCAGAATTCCCAAGGTGGTAATCTAATCACATAAATTTGTACTCTGCTTTAAAAAAAAACAAGCAAACAAACTTAGATGGTTCCCTAGTAATATTTTTAGCTTAGAATATATAAGGTTTTTTATAACTGGATCCAACCTGACTTCCAAACACTGAAAAATCTTAGTCATAGCAGATTACTCCATGAGTCCCTAAATAAGCCACTCTTCCATGCCTTTGTTCATTTTGTTCCTTCTGCCTCAAACACCCTTCATACTACATTGTCTATCTTCCCACTATTGTCATGAAAAAACAACCAAGTATTCAATATCAAGTTGCATCACCTGTGAAATATTCGATTTTTTTTTTTTTTTTTTGAGACAGACTCTCGCTCTGTTTACCAGGCTGGAGTATAGCGGTGTGATCTTGGCTTACTGCAAGCCCCACCTCCCAGGTTCAAGCAATTCTCAGGCCTCAGCCTCCCAAGTAGCACCTGCAACCACGGCTAATTTTTTGTCTTTTTAGTAGAGATGAAGTTTCGCTATGTTGGTCAGGCTGGTCTCAAACTCCTGGCCTCAAGTCATCTGTCCACTCTAGCCTCCTAAAGTGCTGGGATTACAGGTGTGAGCCACTATGCCCAGCCCAAAATATTTGATTTTTAATTTTTAAAAATCAAAATCCATACTCTAAGTAGAGGTTTTTCAATTAGAACCATTTCCAAATTAAGTTTTCTTTTTTTCTTCAGGGAAATGTTTAGAGTCCTGCAATTTATCCAGCCACTGATGAAGCTGGTTAGAGCTGGCAGGAACTCCAAATTATTCTTGCATACACTGTCCCCCCTGCCTGGACATGAGCACAGTCAGGCAAGGTCTACGAGTATGCCCTCCAAATTAAGTTTTCACTTTCTCTCTTTATGCTCTAAGAAGTTTAAGTGACTTGTACATATATCACTCAAAAAACCAGTAACTGTGTACCAAATGGAGAAAGGACACTTGACTTCTTTAAGAATACACCCAAATCAGGCTACATTTTTAAAATTTAATAAATAGAAGTGGGGGTGGGAAGGTGAAGAAATTACTGGTTTAAAAAGCAGCTTCTCTGTTATGGTAAAATGGAGATTCACAGGAAAATGGAGATTCACCTGGGTTTCTAGCTAAAATCAACACTGAGCTGAAATGAACCTATAAAACAGATTAGAATTAAGATGAAATCGGGCCGGGCATGGTGGCTCACGGCCTGTAATCCCAGTACTTTGGGAGGCTGAGGCGGGTGGATCACGAGGTCAGGAGATCCAGACCATCCTGGATAACACGGTGAAACCCCGTCTCTACTAAAAATACAAAAAAATAGCCAGGCGTGGTGGCAGGCACCTGTAGTCCCAGCTACTCGGGAGGCTGAGGCAGGAGAATGGCATGAACCCAGGAGGCAGAGTTTGCAGTAAGCCGAGATCGCGCCGCTGCACTCCAGCCTGGGCGAAAGAGCGAGACTCCGTCTCAAAAAAAAGAATTAAGATAAAATCTTTTAACTGTGATAAAGTATTACTGAATATAAAAGCAAAATGTCTAAATCAACATCAAAAGAAATTCTGGTAGGATATAATAATCACTTTACTATGCTTTAGATTCAAACTATCCAAATGTTCTTAGTTTTAAAACAAACAAAAAATTCTAATAAACAAAAAAGAATTAATTTTTGCCAAAACATATTACATGTATATAAAAGGCTTATTAGCTAGCTGACAATCTCCCTCAAGATTAGCTTTTAACTCATGATGAACTAATATGGCACAAACATTTTAATCTTTTACTATAGCTTCTCCTCATTTCAGCAAACTCACTCAGATGTTTCCTACTTACTTGCATTTCCACATAGCATCTCTACTGAAGATCCCTGTAAAGTGCGGCAGTCAATTTCTACCCAATTCAGTGTTGCTGTCTAAACCTACTTGATCAGTGATGAACAGGTGCTGAGCCCACAAGTCAGTCATGGTGGAATTTTCCAGTTGCTTGGTGTTCCATTCACATAGAGTTAGAAGGTGGCATGGAATATCAATATAGCTGTTAACTCTTTAGGACGAATTTGTGACAGCATGACCTGAAATGCAGGTATATGATTTCTGTCTAAAAACCATAAACTTCCCATCAATAACTGGGAACATTTTTATCAACAAGAGTGCAAGGAGTGCACTGCTTACGGCTTTTCTGACATCAAATCTAGCTCATTTAATAGTACAAAGAGTCAACTGTGCAGTGATTCCTTCAATTTCCCAACTGCACTAAATAAACCCAGAACACCACATTTGCTGTCCTGGGCACACTCTGTTCTTCTCAAAAAAGAAAACACAAATAAACAATTCTACAATATCATGAAAGGACACAAATTTTCTGAAGGTCTTCAGCCACATAATGTTCTTCAATAGATTAGAAAGCCATATTGCCATGAGCTATGAATCTACTGTCATGTATTATTTCTTTAGTATAGATAAGGGTGAGTTATGCCACTTGGAAAACTGAGGAATTATTTTTTGGAAACAGATTTTTAGAATTGAAAGAAACCTTAGAAACCATTTAGCCTCAGACCCTCAGGTTAAAGATAATGAAATCGAAATCCCCACAAGTTAAGCCACTTGCCCAAAATCAAATCGCTGGAAATGGAAACATCCAGCCACGCTTTCAACCCAGGTCATAGTGCCTCTCAAGAAACAGATTAGAAGAAAAATATTAAAATATTCCAGCAAATCGGAGAGGTATGAAGCCATTTCAAGGGCATCCTCATTACTCTGCAAATTCCAGATACAATAGATAGTATGTGATCTTAAAATTACCTAGAGTGTTTTGTAAAGCTATTACTTTGTTACATAAAATATAAAGGCAAAACTTAATGTATTGGAAAACACCAGAATTGAATTCCTAATAATGTCATGTTTTCTATTCATTTCGAAAGATATTTTCTATTCAGGAAAACATGGATCTTTTTAAAATTGAAACTAATTACAAAGCAGCAACATCAATAATAGTGATAGTAGCTAATACTCCTGAGCATTTATTATGTGCCAGGCCTTGAGCTAAGAGCTTTCTATGCACTGTCATTCAATCTTTGTAATATGGCTATGAAGTACATTTACAATTATTCTTATGTTAAAAATGAAGCAGCAAAGAGATTAAGAAAGTTATCTAGGTCACAGAGCTACTGAAAGGCCCATGCTTTTAGCCACCACCTTACATTGCCTCTTATTAGGCCTTAATTTTGCTGAGCTTGAGTAAAAACATGCTGCTTTGTAAATAAGGAGGCAACTATAGATGACCACTAATAAAATTTTTAACCCAACAACTAAATATAACCCCAACACACTGCTCTCCAATCATTCATTTTGACTGATTTAAGAGGGATTAATTTTTACAAAGATTATTTCTCTCTATAGTTTAATCACTCATCTTGAAAATTGTTTCACTAATACGTTAAAAACGTACTGCTTTGAATACCCAGTACATAAAGTTACTTGTTAAAAATGAAATAAAACTGAAAATGTACAGGACAGCACAGCAACTGTATCCTGAAGGCAGCACATACCTTGCTTTCTCCTTCCGGAGTTTACAACAAACATCTACCAGTTAGAACAATGAGCTTGTGGGCAGAGTTTCTGACAGTATGTAGACACTCTTCACTCAACAGTGTACTGGGCTAGGTATACAGCCCACAAAGTCTTTACTCTTTTAAGAACCCATGTTGACAGTTTAAACATCTTTGACTTTGGTAGGCAACAATACTTCTTTACACATTTTGGTATTTGAATGAAAGGATCCAAACTAACTGAATCTCAATAAATGTGCCAAGGTGCTCCAATACCTAATCTCCTCCACCCCCCTCCCCTTAATTTTTATTACTGGCCAGGCATGGTGGCTCATGCCTGTAATCCCAGCACTTTGAGAGGCTGAGGCAGGCGGATCACGAGGTCAGGAGATCGAGACCATCCTGGCTAAAACGGTGAAACTCCATCTCTACTAAAAATACAAAAAATTAGTTGGGCGTGGTGGCAGTTGCCTGTAGTCCAGCTACTCGGGAGGCTGAGGCAGGAGAATGGCGTGAACCTGGGAGGCAGAGCTTGCAGTGAGCCGAGATCGTGCCACTGCACTCCAGCCTGGGCAACAGAGCAAGACTCCGTCTCAAAAAAAAAAAAAAAAATTTTATTACTAAGATAACATTGTCAACTAGTTATTTTTCTGTTTTGAGACCAAAGGGTAATGAGAATTTAAAGGACACTGACAACTGTAAAGTAGTAAGATTATTCCTGAAAATATGAGTTGTTTTAATCAGCCCAGACTTCTAGACATGATTTTTAAATTATCCTTCTTTCAGAAAGAAAAAAACATTTTAAGTACCTGAAGTCTTCTGACTTCAAATTTTAAGTAAATAAATAAATTACAGATAACCAGAAGGAAAATTACTTCAGGTATGCACTGTCATGAATTCAAAGTTCAACAAGACACCTAGCAGGAAGTGTCTCTCCATGCTATTACGAATGCATCACTACCATCTCTGTCCTTCAAGTCCTTTCAGGCAGATACCTAACACTGCTCCCTAACCACAGCAGAAAGCATCTTTAGTTTTCTTTTTATTTGTTCTTTGTTTCATTCTTCTTTTTTTTTTTTTTTTTACAAGTTATAATAAGCACCACCAGAATTCAACAGAAAAAAAATGGGCTAAACATCCTATGCTGAGGATAGAATTAACAGTCATACCTCAGCTTACTCACTATTTATACATTATAGCTGTTCCCTCTTCAAAATCGAGACTGAAAGAATGGGAAAATGTTAGACTCTAAACCATCATCTATTCAAAGTTACAATGGAATATAATTGCTACTATAGAGCAAGAACATAAACCTTAAAAATGTACCCAGGGTAGGGGCAGGGAGAAAAGACATCATGATACATGCTAGTTTAAAGATTTTATTTGGAATGAATTACATAAACTACCATATTTCAAAGACTGGGCTTCATTATCTATTGATAGTATAATAAAACTATGTAAAAATGTTCTGCTAGGCAGTTTTATTTATTAGATGTAAAAATCTTCCCCATACAATCTAAATAAAATTTGTCTTCTATCATCCTTTTGATGAAAAACTATTGCTGATATTACAAGTAAAAATTAAAA
Source organism: Homo sapiens (assembly GCF_000001405.40). Lineage (NCBI taxonomy): Eukaryota > Metazoa > Chordata > Mammalia > Primates > Hominidae > Homo > Homo sapiens. The sequence continues at coordinate 131,483,507 of NC_000003.12, forward strand.
TGAATTCTGGTAAATTATATATTCACCTCACACCCTAACGTGACACTGGTAAATTTACCTATTTATCTAGAGAATTATAACCAACATCAGTATAGGTAAACACAATGTATCTTTCATGTAAGCAAGTTTCCTAACAAAATTTTATTTTAAAAGGAACACTTTAAAATTGTAAGTATATCGTCAAGAAGCTGTTACTGTTGGTTACTGGCCACTTTTTAAAAAACTGTCTGCAGACAATTTCATTCCTGAGGTAGACAGATACTTCTCACACTATTTTCTTGAAATGCAGACAGTGTTTGTTCCTATAAAAAATTTTCTTAGTTATTTCTAAAGTACATTTAACTCAGCAATTAAAGTTGAAGGTATAACATTGAAACATTGAAATCTAGTACTAAAAATATAAGTGAAGATTGATAATTAAAATACATTACAGCATGAGAAAAATTAAGAAATTAGGGATTGAGATTTTTCTCTTTTCTAATGAAAAGATAATGAAGCCAATTACTAAACAGACTAGTTTTCAGTTTTATGCTAACTAAAATGTAATAAATACTCACTTTTATTGGCAATGTTATTTTAATTACATTAAACTTGCTTGCTTTTAAACAGATGTTTGTATGTTATAATTCAAGCAGAGTTAAGGAAAGAAAGGCATTCTGAATTCTGTGCTAGGTAGAGGAGTGAGGAGGAAAAGTGGTTTAACTGATGAGCTTCTATTTTCCAGCCCAGTGGTTCTCAATGTGTGTTTCCGGACCAGCAGCATCTATATCACCTGGAAACTTGGTAGAAATGCAAATTCTCAGGTATTAACCCCAGACCTACAGAATCAGAAGTTCCGTGGGTGGGGTCCATCAATTTGTGCTCAACTAAACCTCCAAGAGATTATAAAGCCTACTCAAGCATGAGACCCACTGCTCCAGCCTATAAATCCATGTCCTTTCATCACTCCCTTAACCATGGCACTGCACATATTGTTCCCCTAGTGTTCACCCTTCCAACAGGATTAATATCCAGAAGATAGAGCCGAAAAGTTCCAAAATGCATTAAGGAAAGTAGAGAGAGGAGTTTAAAAAAGAAAAAAAAAGTTAAACAAAGGTATGCACATGTATGTGTACATGTACAGACGTGGGAAGTCAGTGGCAGAGAGAAGAGGCAGTGGCAACTAGGGCTGTATGCAGCTGGGAATACAATGCTGCACTCAGGAAATTCAAAACAGTTCCAGATGAGAAGGACAACGAATCCTATAAATTTACAAGCATTTAAAATTAAAAGCACCTTACAGCAATAATAAGATGTCAGCTACAAGAGCTATAGTTATTGGTAACATTTAGCAAAAGGTCAAATAAAGTCCAATTCATTCTCATGTAAGTAATAAATACCTCATGAAGATATGCACACACACATGCGAGGAAAACCCTGCCCCACTGTTAATACAGTAAAAGTTAAACAGAATATTGTATTGTAGCCCATATAACAGTGGTGATCTTCTCAAATGGAGGTCCTCACTTCTCCAGAGTTGACTATCACTACTTTAAATTCCAGGGCTGGTTGTTCCCCCAACTCTTACCAGCTATTTAATCCTGAAGCTGGTGCATGGCTTTACATAATCTTGTTTTCTATGAAAATGATCTTACAAAAAACCAAAAAACAAAAGTTTTCCTCTTTTACTTTATGCTTACAAGAAGGCAGCTGAAGTTTTAAAAATCACTTTAAAGAAGCCAAGGAAACCAAACAGAAGCATATGAGATGAAAGCATTCACTGAAGATAGGCATTTGAAAAGCTAGACTCTAATCCAAGTTAGTCACAAGTCCAGCCACAAGGCAAATGTTAACAAAGGCCTCTGACTTTGCGTGGTTTCTTAGAATATCCCATATTGTATAAAATACATAATGGAATTCACACAACATTAACTGTGTGTAAATTAACAAAATTACTATGTGGCATTTTATATGCAATAATTCAAAAATTAACAAGTAAAATAATCTGATTTACAACACACATATTTCCCCAACTAACCAAATCAAAGCTTTTAAGCTCCAATATTTTGAGTTCTGCCAAAGGAATGCAAAACAGAGTTACCAAGGAACCAGTGATTTCAGGGGTTCTTGTAACTAGGAACAAGTTCACGATAATCAGGAAGCAGGAAAAAAAAAAGGGGGACAGGTTTACAATCTCTTTAAAAAGAAGACTCATCTTATTACCAATCTATCCCACATTTCATTTCTAAATAGCGAAATGAAGGTTATTAAAGCAGCCAGCAGCTTTTGCAATGACCTATATTTGAAACTAGGAAGAATGCATCTTAACCATGTGAAGGAAAGTGATACTAGCACTCCCCCAGTTTCTTTTGATAAAAGGTGCTCTGGCTCAATCTCTGTGATTACAAACTTATCCCAGAGCATCTGTAAACAATGGCATATTTTTCAGAGGGTTCCTAGTCAGAATAATCCCTGCAGAATTATCATGCAACAAAAAGGAGAAAACTGAGGCATCAAAAGAAATGAAATTATCATTTATGTTGAAGAAACAAACATCTGATCTTTGACAAACTTGACAACAACAAGAAATGGGGAAAGGATTCCCTATTTAATAAATGGTGCTGGGAAAACTGGCTAGCCATATGTAGAAAGATGAAACTGGATCCCTTTCTTACACCTTATACAAAAATTAATTCAAGATGGATTAAAGACTTAAATGTTAGACCTAAAACCATAAAAACCCTAGAAGAAAACCTAGGCAATACTATTCAGGACATAGGCATGGGCAAGGACTTCATGACTGAAACACCAAAAGCAATGGCAACAAAAGCCAAAATTGACAAATGGGATCTCATTAAACCAAAGAGCTTCTGCACGGCAAAAAAAAAAAAAAAAAAAAAAAAAAACCAAAAAAAACTACCATCAGAATGAATAGGCAACCTACAGAATGGGAGAAAAATTTTTTTTTTTTTTTATTATACTCTAAGTTTTAGGGTACATGTGCACATTGTGCAGGTTAGTTACATATGTATACATGTGCCATGCTGGTGCGCTGGAAAATTTTTGTAATCTACCCATCTGACACAGGGCTAATATCCAGAATCTACAAAGAACTCAAACAAATTTACAAGAAAAAAACCAACCCCATCAAAAAGTGGGCAAAGGATATGAACAGACACTTCTCAAAAGAAGACAACTATGCAGCCAACAGACACATGAAAAAATGCTCATCACCGGTCATCAAAGAAATGCAAATCAAAACCACAATGAGATACCATCTCATGCCAGTCAGAATGGCAATCATTAAAAAGGAAACAACAGATGCTGGAGAGGATGTGGAGAAATACAAACGCTTTTACACTGTTGGTGGGAGTGTAAATTAGTTCAACCATTATGGAAGACAGTGTGGCGATTCCTCAAGGATCTAGAACTAGAAATACCATTTGACCCAGCAATCCCATTACTGGGTATATACCCAAAGGATTATAAATCATGCTACTATAAAGACACATGCACACATATGTTTATTGTGGCACTATTCACAATAGCAAAGACTTGGAACCAACCCGAATGTCCATCAATGATAGACTGGATTAACAAAATGTAGCACATATACACCATGGAATACTATGCAGCCATAAAAAAAGATGAGTTCATGTCCTTTGCAGGGACATGGAAGCTGGAAACCATCATTCTGAGCAAACTATCACAAGGACAGAAAACCAAACACCGCATGTTCTCACTCATAGGTGGGAATTGAACAATGAGAACACTTGGACACAGGGCGGGGAACATCACACACCAGGCCCTGTCAGCGGTGAGGGGCTGGGGGAGGGATAGCATTAAGAGAAATACCTAATATAAATGACGAGTTGATGGGTGCAGCAAACCAACATGGCACACGTCTACCTATGTATCAAACCTGCACGTTGTGCACATGTACCCTAGAACTTAAAGTATAATAAAAAAAAAACAAATAAAAATAAAAGCTATAACCTGATGTGAACCCTTTACATACAATTAATTTGGCACAATTTAAAAACCAGTGTAGGTAACATGAAAGATTTGAATTCAGAATGAGAAATATATTTATCCTTTATTCACTGACTTGAAAGACTGTACTTCTTTCACTTATTCTATTCTCTTTTAATAGATGAAAACAAAAGGAAAAGAGAACTCGCTATGAGGACCTACGTTTTGGCTGTGACATCCACATACTGTCCTGGACGAAAGTGAGCAGCATAAAGAGGAGTGCCTTTATGAAAAGAAAATGAAAAATCAATATGAAATTTGACAGCACAGAAACAACTTTATTCAACATAAACTATATCCAGGAAGGCTTCTAGCTGATTTCAAAAATGGTAAGAGATTCTCTTCTGCAATTAGAAACATCCAAACAATGAAATTATTCAACAAATATGTCTTTTGATTGACTTCACAGAGACCAAAAGTGGTGCTGTTTGAAATGAGTGATTCCCATGACAACACAGTGTTCTTGCTGTCAAACATATAAATTTGATGATTCTTGGTTGTTTTAGTGAATAACAGTATACTAAATTAAGATATGTTTCTTGTCTTCACATTGGGAAAACAAAAACAAGAATAACCAAAAAATGTTGGGGCTTCATTAAATATCCTGCACCCATTGGACAAACAGGAAACAATTACTTGAACCCAAGTCCCTCATATGGTGTGTAATGATCATGGTATGTATGACATCTATATAAAGCCTCTACATATCAGATTTTGGGTGAACTCTTCATTGTACCAATAAACTATAGTTCTCCAGTTCATGCCTAGATAATTAGAATAGCAAAAAATTGCCTTTATAGATACTTATTAAATTTTATATAGAAACGTTTACAAAACTAGTTGTATGCAAATAAAGTCTTACTTTAAATGTACTTGGGAAATGTTATTTTAAAAAGTTTTAAATTTTGTGATGAATCAAAGCCCTTCATAATATTGTTTACATAAACTTGAAAGTAACATTTATAAGAACTATTTGGCAATCAATTAGCAAACATTTATAGGGCACTTACAAATATGTGCAGCTAGAAATTCAAGAATATAAGAATATAAGACATGGCCCCTGACAGCAAGAAATTTATTATCTTGGTGAAGAATAAACATTAACATCATCAAATAAGATACATTTTTTTAAATGGCAGAAACCACTGTAGTAGAGAATGTAACTGAAAGTTTATTTATAGTTATAGTTTATTTAATACAAGCAGCAAAGTGCTGTAAGATTGCAGGGGGGGAACTTCCTTTAAGTTATAACCCAACCTGGATTTATATAGGCAGAGAAAAACCTTGAATGAAGAAAATATAGAGATTTAATCATTCCACATTGTCTACATATTATCAAAACATCACACTGTATCCCATAAATGTATATAATTTTGATTTGTCAATCAAAAAATAGTATTAATTTTTTAAAAAGAAATTAAGTGACCTTTTATGAGGCTGAATTGCTGATTTTTGACCATTTTTGACCCCAAAAACAATTTTGTATGATTTGAGCTACAGCAAAAGTTAATGTGGCTTAATTTTATCTTTATCATAAACATAAACAAAGAGTTTAAGAAAGTTAGATGTGTTAATACCAAAGAGAATATTAAAAAGTGCTTCAGAACTGTCTACACAACCAAATATTTTAGAACTATCCCTTTATATTTAAAGTATTTCCATTATAAACTATTCTAATATACAATGGCCCAAGTACTTCTACTAATTTTTATATTTGTTTAATTCCATTTACCTTGCCTTAAAATTGCAAAATCTTAACTTCAAAGAATACTTTTAATTCTACCTTGTATCAAGGCTGACCCTCTGTCACACCAATAAAAGCCTACTGCAACTGTATTTTACTTAAAGCAGTTTAGTTCCGATATTAAATACCAAATCTTAAAGCAGCATTCTACTGTCTTCTTGTCAGAACTCAAGTTCAGAGATCAGGGAGCTTTTCTGAAGTTCAGACATCAAAATGTTATATTTTGCTAACCATATGAGCCAATATAATCATATGCCAAATCTTTACTCTTTGACAGTCCACGGATTAGGCAAAATATCTTGGAAATTTTAAGTAAGAATCTTTACATTGAGGTGCTATGGTCGGTCCCTTCTGTTATTATATTTTCTCCAGTTCTTCTACCTAAGCAAGAGCCTGGCTATTTTTCATGAATGCCAGCCTGTGAACAACGATCTTTGAATTTTAAAAGTTAGTGTATTTCTTTGAGGTGGCTTTTTCAAATATTAAACTCTCTCTACATTAAAAACAAAAGTGTTCCTCCCTCTCTCACAGAAAGCAAAGAGTTATCTACAGGTTTTTCCACTAAAAAAAAAAAAAAACAAAATGAGATACAGTTTTGTATTTAAAAGTAAGTGTTTGAGACTTTGCATTTTAGATGTAGCTTTATTGAAAGGGCTGACATTAAACAAATTGCATATTTGGGTATTTTTACCTCCCTCCTCTCCCCAACCTCAAATTACCTGGTTTAATTGCAGCATTATCTGTTATATTAAAGATTTTAACTGTCTGTTTCGGCGGCAATCCAAGTTCCCGGTAAAATTCCAATATGGATGTAGCTTTCTAGAGGAAAAGCAGCACATATAAGTAATACATTGAATATTAAAAGTGGAATTAAATGCATGGAGATCTAAACCAAGTTATTAACACCCCAGAAAATAAATCAAAGCATACCTTATTCCTTAATGAACAAAGGGCACCCAATTCCCCTTATTTAAGGGAGGTGAGATTTATAGCTATATTTTATTACATCTCTGAATAATCTTACTATTTAGATTCCAATCATGTACATAGTGTTCAAATATAGCACACTGGGAAAGACCTCTGTTCTGCAGGAAAATAGAGAGTTGTGCTCATATTTAAATTCTGACTGGAGACTGTCTGAATTAAGAACCCAAACCCCGAAAAATCAACTCTGCCTATTCTGCACTTATTCTAAACTGGAAGAAAACACGGTATGTTACATTTAAATGTTATGACCACAAACTTCAGAATCTCAAATGTGGCCTGCTTATATCTAGAGATACCTACATATCTCTGGTTAAATCATTTTCACACTCTATAAGAAAACTAAGTCACATCCTTTTCTAAAATCTTCAGCACTGTTTCCTCTTCCTCCCTTTGAGTTGATCAAATAAAAGAATTAAGAGAACTTCTCCATGCTTTTACCAAATTGTCTATACCAGCACTAATATATTAACAGTACTATCCTCCCACCCCACTCTAGGTTACACATGAGATGCACATGGAGAGCTTCTGGAAAATGCCAACGGCAAGGGCCCTCTGCTTAGAGATTGTAATTTCACTGTCTAGTGTGGGGTCTAGGCATTGCTAATTTTCAAGCACCTCACATGATTTCTATGTCAAACTGGGGCTGGAAATCATGCTGACAGATGAGCTCTCCATACTTTTATTAAAAGCACTAATTCCCACCCCTTCTCACCTATTCAATGGTTTCCTCCTGAAATTGTCCCCACTCTCTTCTAAGAAATCTTCATTTTTTTCCCCTTTCTACTGGAACTTCCTATCACTATATATAACATGTCACAATAATTCACATATTAAAACAAACTTTTTCTTGACCACATATTCTTTAGCTAATTTTTCTGTTCCCCCTTACAGCAAAGCTCCTGGAAAGACTTGCCAAGTCTACTTTCTCTCCTCCCATTCTGTGAACCCAGTTTAATCAGCACTTTCAGCTCCTAGCACTCAATGCAAAGTGCTTGTCATTCACCAAGGATCTCCATACGGTCAACCACACTGGTTGATACTCATTTTACTGAATCTACCAGCAATGCTTAACACAGGTGACCACTCTCTCCATGGAAGACTTTCTCTTGGCTTCCAGTTACTACTCTCTCGGTTCTCATATATGTGAATGTCTGCACATTTCTAACTTCAATTCCAAATTCTACTTTGAACTATACATTCACATGTCCAACTGCCAAGTCATTATCTCCACTTCAATGTCATATAGAAACTTAAGCTTAACGTGTCTAAAACTGAACTCAACTCCCTTCACCAAGCCTGCCCTTCCCAGGCCTTCTTCCAAATCTCAATAAAAAAGGCAACTCCATAATGCTGCCGTATAGGTCAAAAATCTTATGGTCACCCTTGATTCTTTTCTTCTTCACATTCCATGTCCCATTCATCAGCAATTCCTCCAGACTATTTAAAAATATAGCCCACGCCAACCACTTACCACCCCATCCCAATGTCAACCTCATCCACTATCTTCTGCCTGGATTATTTCAATAGCCTCCAAACTGGTCTCCAAGCTTCCACCCTTCCGACTCTCTAGTCTGTTCTCAATTCACAGGCTGGCATTATCATTTTAAAACTCAAGCCATATCATGTATCTACAGTGGCTTCTACTTCTTACAGAATCAAGTCCTAAGTCCTTACCATGGTTTAAAATGTTCTACACAATCTGACCTCATCTTTTACTCTCCTCCTGACTCACCCTGCTTCAGAAAAAATGCACTCCCTTATTGGCCCAAGAACACATCAAACACTAGCCTCAAGACCTTTGCGCATCCTATTGCCTCTGTCTAGAATGCTTTTCTGCCATATTTTTGCATGACTGGCTCCCTTACTTATTCAGGTATCAATCAAAATATCAACTTACCTTGTCTAATTACTCAATCTGAAATAGCATCATTTTTTGTCACTTATCCCCTCAGCCTACTTTTATTTTATTAAAGCATATTATTTTATTAATACCAGTTTTTTAGGCATACCAGGAAGCTTCCGAGAAAAATCCTTTATATTTTTAGTATTACCCTTCAAAGCATTTATCTCCATGTGTCATGATACACATTTTTTACTGTTTCTATGTCAGCAGTACCCAACCTTTTCGGTACCAGCGACTGGTTTCATGGAAGACCATTTTTCCACAGACCAGTGGAGGCAGCAAGAGGGATGGTTTCAGAATGAAACTGTTCCACCTCAGATTATCAGGCATTAGAGTCTCATAAGGAGCATGCAACCTAGATCCCTCGCACACACAGCTCCTATAGGGTTTGCGCTCCTATAAGAATCTAACGCTGCCACTGATCTGACTGACAGGAGGTAGAGCTCGGGTGGTAACTAATGCTCACTCACCTGCCATTCACCTCCTGCTGTGCAGTTCCCATTCCTAACAGGCCACAGAGCAGTCTACAGCCCAGGGGATGGGGACCCCTGTTCTATGTAACAGCCTCCCCATTTCACCCCCAAACCTACCCAAATCTAAGCTTCCTGAAAGCAGAGACTTGCTTTAGTTGCTGCTATATCCCCAGCTCCTGGTAGAACCTGCTGTCTGCTCTCCACTCCTGCCTTCTGTCCTGCTATTGTAAATATCACTACAACCAGTGTCACTAAAAACAAAACCTATGGACATCTTATTTTCTTATAATTCCTGGGTCTTCCCCCCACCTTAATTCTTAAGACTCGATATAGATTGCTATAGGACTTGACAAAAAAGTTATGCCACTTTTTATTTCCTGATGTGAAGAGTGCCTCTTTCATCACAATATAACATAGTACATCTATTTTCCTGCTGTTCGCTCTCCCTCAACTTTCTAACCATAAATGAAGAACCCGCAGGCCCCCAATGGCTATGTTACTCTATGTATGCTTTCCTGAATCTGTCTGCACCACTCTCTTCATCTGTGATCTCCTCCCTACCCTGCATCTCCAAAGCTTCAAAGTTGAGGAAGAGGGAACAGCAGGTAGATGTATCTGTGTTCGTTTTATTCTGGTGAAAGAGGCACTCTTCACACTGGGAAATATAAGTACATGTCTCTAGTACTAAATTCAGTTATATTTCCTATCCAGATCCCTCTCTGAGCAGCCTTACCAGAGCACATTGCTCCTTTGTCTATGCCAACACTAGACACTGGAATATCTCAATTACTGTCCATATCACCATACACTTATCTACTCAAATGTTGGTCAGCATGCTGACCTGTGAGCACCTGGATGGTAAAGGCTGTTTTTTATTCATCTGTGTCTCTAACTTTACAGCTAAGCACAGTGGCAAGTTAGACAATAAAGAAGTGGGCTAAACCAACGATGAAAAGAAACAGAAGATAAAGGACAGGCAACCATCTGGGTATAAAGTTTGTCTAACTCTTCCCACTTTTCTACTCTTCTGCTCCATCAGTTCTTGGAACACGACGTTACTGTGTTTGTGGCCTCAATCTTCAGGTCTAGTTACTGTAAAAGTATAGGCCTAAGAGATATATCATGACTTGCTCTGAGGACGAACAAATCAGCAAGAAACTATTATAAAACCAAACCAATAGTAATTGTAATTTTCAAAAAGCAAGAATAGCAGCAACTAAAAAACCCTAACCAACTCAAGATGACACTGATAATAACAAAGTATCCTTCCCCCAAATTCCAATGAAGTGCCTGCAGAGTCAGACTTGTTTGTAGAATATAATATGTGAATACTTAGCAAACTTTAGTTACTTGTTCAGTTTAAAATGTAAACCATTAGTACTTATAACTTACTCAGTTGCCTATAGTTGACATGAAATTGGGTGGCACTGGCCTGTAAGCACACAGTTTAATTTTTGGATCAGTCTACAACTTACCAGGAATCCCCCTGGGGCTCTCCAGTGGAGCCTACAACAAATGCCAAGAAGCTCTACTTTGATGTCCACTGAAGACTGTTCTATACCTCACAAGAGTTCTCTCAAGAAGCTATCCTTTCCTCCACAAGAGTGATAACACAAATTCATTCCAATCATTCTCTATTATTTTATTTCCTACACGCTGAAATTAACACTAACACCCAACACCACTATTATCAAGTCCCCTGCTTTTCATCTTCAATCATACTCACTTCTGCAACAAGAGCAAACACAAAATTTTCATTTAACAGTATGGCTCCTTTAAATTATTTTCCTGATGTATAAAATTCAGATTTATTAAATTTTAGAATGGACTTCAAGTTTATTTTTGACATTCACCTATTCCACGTGATTTTCAAAGCATATTATTTTGTTAATGCCAGCTTTTTAAGCATATCTGGAAGCTTCTGAGGAAAATCCTTTACTATTCTAATAATACAAAACAGACAATATATATAAACATTTCATCCTAAGTAACTTTTTAGACTAAACCATAAATAGAACCAAGGTAAAACATACTTCTCGATTATCATCCAATTTCACTAATAGTAAATACTTTTTTCTTTTAAAATCAAAATATTATAAAACTAATTAGGTCTCAGTCAGGAGGAAAACCAAATGCTCAAGTAGAGTTAAAACCAGAAGCAATGTAAAAGACTTTTTTCTTTTTTTCAGACTTCTAAATAAGTAAATGATTTCAAAAGGCAATTTAAAAGACTGACAGTACTGTCACAGTTGGATAATCCCATCTATGAGGTTGCATTCTTTTCCCCCACTTCAAAGTTCTCTGCAATTATCCTTCCCACAATGAAAATGCCTCTCCTCCTAAGATGAATTGATTTAATCAATGTTTAAGGCCACTTAACTTCCTCATTCAAAAACACTATGTACTACCTCAGTTTTTATTTATAATAAGGTACAAAACAAAAAGGCAACGTAGTCTAATTTCTTGGAGGCATAAATTCTTTACAGATTAAAAGAAAACAGTTCTAACACTATTATAAAGTGATTTAATTTCCAAATGTTTAGATATATGAAATTTTATATTCATAGGTCTTCGTTTTTTAAAAAATCCTCTATAATCAATCGATTTGCATTTTTTCCTGAGAGCTATAATATGGAAGTCTGGATACTTTTAGTTTCAAAAATCTTTGTTTTCAAACAAAAATGATGTATTTACAAAGAATTCTAAAACTTCATTTTCACATTTCATTTTGAAGAAAGGTCATTTTATAGACAAAGCTTTTTCTTGTTATTGTAATAAATGTCATCTGGACTTAGAAATTTTATATCTTGAAGAAATTTTATATCTTGAAGAAAGAAGGTCCTTCGCAGTACTTTCTATGCTAGAGAAGTGAAGTTTTCAAAGTTTACGTAAATTAAGTGGGTCAAAATCCACCACAACATTAGAACACAACATCCAAATCACCCTGCTGTGCTATGTAACCACTGAAGAGAATAAAGCTATCAGAATAAGCTAAAGAGAAAAAAATGTGTGAACAGCCTCGACTATGAAATGCAATACCTATCATTCTGTAATATTAATTATTAGTACTGTTATAGTAATACTATTAGTATTACTTTCATAAAATTTTGATTATAACACATCTTTATCACTAAGTAAAATAGAATAAATTGAGCTCCCATGTACTTTTTTTCTCCAAACTTGTTTTTTCTTGAGAATTAAAATATTCAGAGAACCAATGTGAGACTTTCAGAACTGGAAGATAATTCAGAGACCATCAAGTACTATTCCTTGTTTTTATGGGTAAGAAAATAGATGTTCAAAAGGTGAGTATAGGGGACCTAAAGGTAGAAATCAGGATTAGAACTCAACTTTTCTGATCCCACATCACTTGTTTTCTCACTACCTCATATTTCAGAGGAAGCAATCTTCACAGACCTGGCTGGGGCAGAAGGGATTACCCTAGCATGCTTGATTTACAAATATCCAGGCCATGAAGGCATCAATTTACAAAACTTGTAATGAAAATGAAGATGATGATGCTAGTCATTACAAAAACACAGAAGTACAATCAAGTAGAAAACAGTGGCATCTATCAAACCAAAGAATTACTCATATGAAGGCTGGTACATAATAAATTTTTAAAAAGTCAAACACTTGATTTTTTTAAAAAGTTCCCATAAATATCTCATTGTACTCTATAATTACTATGGAGTTATATGAAACCCAAATTTGTTAGTCAATAAACTGTTAAGAATAGCAGGACAGATATTATGACAAAGCTTTAAAGAAAAATAAATGGAGTATGCTACCATAATATTCAAAAATAGCTAACTTCTCTAACACGAAACAAAATAAACCATGTCACAGATTTCAGTGATTTCCACCACCACTTATTGACTAATCAGTATTTCTCACCATTTATAGAACTATGATTTCCTGTGAACATCTCAAACATCTTTCCTCCAAAGCTTCCCTTTTCCTTGTTCCTATCCCAGAGTATGCAATCAGCACTGACCTAGTTGTGTCCTCCCACCTAGTCCTTTCCAATCCCTGCCCCTTCCAATCTCAATGCAACTGCCTTGCTTCTAAAGGCTCTTATCAACTCTCCCCTGATCTCTTAAAACAATCTCCTAAAAACTCTTTCCTTCTATCAGATTTTTAAAATTTTAGTTAACTAATTTAACAATCTGAACAAGTTACTGACCTAGTTAAAGAATTCAGAAAGCACCTCAAAGTCCGTAAGATGAAGTCTAAACCTCACACACTACCTTGATAGCTGCAGCTTCACCACCCTCCCAACACTGGCCCAGGCCTGCACACTAAAATGCAGCCACATTACACTTCTCTCCCCAAGCACACATGCTCTTCCATGTTGTCTCTGCTTCTGCAGAGGCCATTCTCTCTGGCATGCCTGTAACACCCATTTTCCTTTCTGTTCTCCCTGTGAAACCTCCTGGGATTTTCCCTGGCAGAATTGGCTGTCTCCGGTTCTGTGCTCCTTGGATTTATAATATTGTACTGGGATGGCTGGTTTATTTGTGTAACTTCCTCACTAGCTTATGAGCTCCCAGTGGGTAGATATCAAGACACAGTTAAGTAAGGCTCTGGTGTCTGTCGCTCTACCTTTTACCAGTGGGTGACTTTGAATGAGTTAGTTAACTGCGTTAGCCTCAGAGGCTGAAAAGTTTATATAAAGTAACAAATGAAAAAAGCGTAATGCTTATGCACGTGGCATGTAATAAATGTTCAATAAAAGTTAACTATCAGAAAATAGAGTAGTTAGTAGGATAAACACCTGATAGTTTTGACAGTCAGAGAGTATGGGTTGTATCCTAATTTCTGCCTTGTTCATTTCATAAACAGTTTACAATGAAAAAAAAGTTTGTCTTAGAGATAAGCAATGTGTTATAGTAAACCTAAAGATGTTTACTGAAAACCATCACCATTTTGAGAAAGGTTTTCTGGTTTTAGTTATTCAATACAGGATACTCATTGGGCAGCTTTTCCAAACTTAAACTACAAACTCAGTACTCTACTTAAAAAAAAATGCTTTATTAAAAAAAATCTGATTTGGATTCTTATACAGCTTTCTCCCAAACACTGAAAGCTCCTTCCAGAATACACAAAATTAATTTCCACATGCTCTTGGTGTCAAGAGTTAAGACAATTTTCCATAGGAAGAAAGTGAAATGAAACATAAAACAATAACAAAATAACCAAATCTACTGAGTGTCTGTTATATTCCAAGCACATCTGAAAAACCTAATTTAATCCTTGTGATAAATCTATTAGGTATGTAGTATTTTTGTTCCCATTGTACAGATATACAAGCACTACAGCTTAGAGAGGTAAAATTACTTGTTCCAGATACAGGGAGAGGTATTAGAACAAACTCAAGAGTCTCCAAGACTCCTGGGCAAAATGGCTGTGCCAGACTGCCTCCCCCAAATACACAATTTACCTCACAAACAAATGCAAGTTTGTGGCTGTGGAACAATCTCAAAACATAAACTCATCCAGATTTGAAACTGATGAAAAATGCAGTATTCTAGCTATGAAAATACATCCTTACACGAAAACGTGATACAGTTTTTCCTCCTACAGACAGGGTTGCCATTTTTCCATTACAGTTTTCCTTTGACGTATATTTTAAGACATGACAGTCTTGTACCTAAAAAAACAAACATAAAAAAACTAAGCATGTGCCAATATATATTTTAACATTACAAACCAGCCCCATTGAGACCTTAGGACAAATAGGAATTCCCTACAGTTACTTACCTCATCTTTCCTCTAACACCAACCACAATCTTAAAAATATAAATTAAAAAAAAAAAGATTAAATACACACTTTGGGAGGCCGAGGCGGGCAGCTCATGAAGTCAGGAGATCGAGACCATCCTGGCTAACACGGTGAAACCCCATCTCTACTAAAAATACAAAAAATTAGCCGGGCATGCTGGTGGGCGCCTATAGTCCCAGCTACTCGGGAGGCTGAGGCAGAAGAATGGCAAGAACCCGGGAGGCGGAGCTTGCAGTAAGCCAAGATCGTGCCACTGCACTCCAGCCTGGGGGACAGAGCAAGACTCCGTCTCAAAAAAAAAAAAAAAAAAAAAGATTAAATACATACAGAAAAGAACATATACAACAAAATGAGTATAAACAAAATATACATGTAACCACTACCCAGCTCAAGAAGTAGAATCCCAAAAGCCCGTGTGTGTCTCTTCCCAATCACCTCCTCATCTTTTTACCCAAGAGCAGGAGTTCTCAAAAGTATGGTCACCAGACAAGCAGTGTCAGGATTCCCTGGGAACTTAATAAAGACACTGATTCTCAGGCCTCAATCCAGACCTACTGAATCAGAATCTTTGTGTTTTATAAGACCTCTAAGTGATTCTGAGGTTCACTAAAGTTTGAGAAGCACTGCCCTAGAAATAACTCTTGACATTTATGGTAACTATTTACTTTTCTTTATAATTACTATATTGGAAAGTATTGCCTGCTTTAAACTTTATATAAATGGAATCAGATTTTATGCATTTTATGTACTCTTCCATGTCTTACTTCACTTAACATATTTGTAAGGTTCATCTATATTGTGTGTAGCTCTATTCTGTTCATTTTCATTGCTGTACAACATTTCATTATGTGAATATAACATGATTTGTTTACCTGTTCTACTGTGGACAGAGACTTGGGTTATTTCTAGTTTGTTGGCGTTAAGTGTGATGCTGCTGCTCAAGTTTTCTAGTAATACTTGGAAGTGGAATTGCTAGACTACAGGCTAACTCGTCTTAATTTTGCCACATAATGCTAAAGTGTTTTCCAAAATGGTTTTGTACCAATTTACAATCCCACCAGCCATTACTGAAAGCCCCCTGCCCCCGCCAGTTTCTTCAGAGTTCACAAAACTATTGTCTTATACTTGATCATTCAGAGCCAATAATAATTTGCAAAGGATCTATAGACTCTTTGAGCCTTATTAGCACTCTAAGCACTTAGGTGCATGAGCTGTTACTTTACATCACCTGTATCATTACTTGCCTAAGACTAAGCCCCAAGATCAACTGAGTTGTTCAAAGTGATTGGGGGAGTGATGATCTCTTACCAGTATCTTTCTATAATAATAATAATAATAATAATAACAACAATGATAATGATAAAGACAATAGTAGCTAATATTTAGTGGACACTTAACATTGTTTCAAGTGCCTGACATTTATCATCTGGTGCAATCTACACAATAACCTTTTGAAGTAGCTCACAATTATTTCTTTTACAGAATAGAGTATCTTTTACAGATGAGGCACAGTGCTCCAAGGAACACACTAGTAAGTGGCAGAATCAAGATTGCAACTCAGGTATTCTGGTCTCAGGACACACATTCTTACCCACTAGACTATAGCTTACCTTAGTGAACAAAATACAGCCTCACCAGACAAGAGTATTATATTCTGTTAGCAAAAAGATCAAAACTGTAATCTGGAGTTGAAAGAACTCCATAAAAGGAAACAAAATGGGATTGAGATTTTTTTCCAATTATGAAGTAAACAAGGGGATCTGTAAAAGGCTAGGTTATACTTAAAAAAAAATTCATTGCTCCAGTTATCCCAATACCAGTATCAGAAGGCCACTGCTCAGGCAAGAGTGAGAACATTCCTGAAACCACCATAAGTTCTTTAATACTATTTATGTTCAACATCACCCCTTTCTTCACCATACAGTTCCATGTTTCAGGACACAAATAGTTCTTGTTAAGGTTTGCACAAACAGATCTTGAAACACATAGATATCTCTTACGTCTTCTGTTTCTCTCTTACCTGAAGTAATGTGACCACATGCTTTTGACCATCCTTGGTCCATAAAGGCATCATGCCCAGCTTCAAGGCAATAAGACCAACTCTAAAGGAACCTGGCAATTAAAACCAAAGCAATGTGAACAAAAGCTTTTGCAACATTCACCAACATTATGAAATCGTTTTTCCTAAAATCAGGTTTCCGTATGAGGAGCAGGCACGTAAGAAATATGCTAATATATTCACAGAGTAAAGTAGGACTGTTCTTTACAGATATAAGTGCCTTCAACCATGCCTGGCATGACATATTGGTGCTCAATAAATATTTGTAAAATGAACAAACATAAATATATGAAATAAAGAAAACAGATAAGTTAGGTATATTCTGGTTTTAAATAATGGGCATGATAAATCCATCATTTTGCTTTCCTAGTATCAATTCTTACCCAACTTTATTCATTAGAAAACATCTATCACTCAAACTCTGAGAAGTTAGCTGAGGCTATAGAGATGCCACAACTGGTCATACATTGCTAAAATATGTCAGTCTACAACAAGACACTTAGATTCTTTGCATAAACTGGTAAAGTTGCCTCACTAAGAAGTTTTGGTAACTATCCAATTCGACTGTCACAATAAACCCTAACCAGGGACCACACACTTAATAGAAAAGGCCTTATTCCTCTTGGTCTGGCCACACATGGGTTTAGCATCCTTCTAGACACAAAGAGCTGATCCAGGGGTTATGCTTCCCAAATCTACAGTGCTAGAGCATCCCAAGTGAACATCCATGCAACACATTACAATTTACATCATACTCTTCCAGCCTTTCTTTCCTGACTTATATTCTTTTTAGCTGAAGTAAACAAGAGAATCTATGCAGAATGATTCTCCCTTCACCTATAAAACAGCTTCTCAAGGAGGTCTTTATTATCATCAGACATTCACTAAAACTAGACTAGGAAGTTGGAAATAAACATGCAAAACAAACCACAATAAAACACACGCAGCACATGAAAAATAAATTCAAGAAATGATAAATTATCAAGTAGTCACTATGATTTTAAATGTGTCCAGCCACACAGTAATTAGGAAATGAGAGCTCATCAAATACAAAATAATCACCTGGTTCCCAAGGATGTATAGGCCATGGTTCATCTTTCAGAGGACACAGTTTACTTGCTAATTGGGCTTTATCTTCATCAGAGACCAACTGCTTAATGAATGGGACATTTTCTTCAGAAAGATGCTCATCCCACCATGTACCACTCTTTCCATGAAGACCTCTAACAAAAAGCCAGATGTGTGTTCTATAAAAAGAAAAAATAAATAAAACCAAACCACAATTTAAAAACTTCCTCCACTTAATATAGAAAAGGGAAGTCACAAATTGGAAAGTGTAGTCAGGGCCTTGGGAAAGGGCTTGGATTCTGTATACCTTTTTTTCAGGTCTCCAACCTTTTCCTCACTCCCCACATTCCTTCGGATAAGGCTCACATTTAAACTGTTAGTCGTTACCCTGGAGAAAAAAATTCATCTTCTCCTCGCAGATAAACATATTCCCCAAAAAACAGTCCTACCTATAGACATGAAAAGCCACTAACCCATTTGGAAGTGTACCTTAATAGTTTTACATTCAGTGGAGGTGGCAGAAGGTGGCATGTTGATCTTTGTCTAACAAGCTCACCTCCTCCCTGCAATGACATGGCCTAGGTTCAGAGAAGTGAAGAAACTGGGTGTGCAAAGTTAAAAGATCCACAAAAGGCATGACCTCTGAACAGGTGAACATACCAAGAAAGACCTTAGTGGGCGGAGGTCAGGAAGAAGGGGTGTAATTCTTGCATGGAGGGTCAGAACAGAAGTAAAGCTTTCTGCAGTCTACTCTCCTTTTGTAGTCAGATAAATTCAGGCTAGATTCCTAATTTTCCACTTATTAGTTGAGTGACTTTGGGCAAATTAACTCACCTCCCTAACCTTCAGTTTTATCTGTAAACCTTATGATAGCAGTTTGCTCCCGTGAGGCTACATAAGGCACCTAATACACTTAGCAGAGCGCTTAGTACCTGGCAAACGCTCACTAATTGTAAGATATGATTGCTGTTAATAGCGTTCGCTGCTAGTGGCTGGCTCATAAGCGTTTTTTAAAAATCACCACTTCAATCCCCTTAGAACGTGCTTCCTTAGGTTAACGGCCCTTATTCTTCTGTGTCCCACGTCTCAACAGAGCCCCTTCCTCCTCCACCCAGGGGAGGCCCAACTGCACCAGGCCATTCCACTGCTTCAGGACGCAACTGTGCAGGTAGGACACCCTCACACCTTCCTACCTGTTCCCCGGGCCCAGGGCAGCACCCAGGCCGTCCCCGAGTCGACCCAGCACCTGGGCGCCGACCTGCGTCAGCAGCCTCCAACCCGGCATGGATTAGCCCGGGAAGACTCGACTCACGACTTCCGGGCGCCCTGCCGCTCTGCTTTCAGGGAGTCCCCACGCCACCGCCACGTGGACGCAGTAGCCGTGGGGAAGTTTTCGCAATGGCCGCCGGAACGGTCGCCGGCCGATGCTCTCTGCGACGGAAAGAAAGCCGCCGGACCCACTTCCGGTGCGTTTTACAATGAACTCCGGGCACTCGAGTCGCTCCCCGGAAACTATAGTTCTGCTTCCACCGTTGTCCTACTTTGGATGTGAGTTGGAGTAGGTAGGGGTGGGAAGGGACTGACTCGCCTCTCCAGGGGTAAAATAAAAGGGATGTTCAGAGTTTAAACTTTAGAAGAATAAGGACAGACTTCCTGAGGACGCTAAGGAAAATGAAGACACTTCTAAATAGTGCCCGTTGTGAGGCAATGCATTATGCTAAGCAGCGCTTCATAATCCTATATTTGTTAATCATAAAAAACGGTCCTGAAAGGAAGTATTTATTTTTCTATTATAAATGAGGAAACTGACTCAGAATTTAGGTGCTGGTCCAAAACAACACATCTGGCAGAGGAGCAGAGTTGGCACTGAAACAGGGTTGGCATGTGTTATCAATAGACTACACCCATAGAAATGATGTATGCCTTCTAGGGCTGGATCATAAAACATATTGTTACTTCAGTTTTTGTCTCTTGGATTGCTCCCTGTGGAGAAAGCTAGCCTTCATTTCCTGCAGACACTCAAACAGCTCTGCAGGGAGGAACATATAAAGAGGAATCAACTAGCCAGTCATGACTGAGCCACCTAGGAAGTGGATCCACCAGTCCTCGGCTGCAACTCATGGAGACGTTAAGCCTGAATCTCCCAGCCAGGCCGCTCATGAATTACTGACTAGGAGAAATTGCCAGAGAAAATAAATGATTACCGTTTTTTTGAGTCATTAAGCTTTAGGGTAATTTGTTATGCAATAATAGATAGCTAATACACCTGCACAAAAAATCCCCTGTCTTGGGTTCCAGATCTAGCCTAATAACCATGTATGTGACTAGGACATTTATTCTTCTACTAATTCCCTTATTTGTCAGATTACTGTTTGTAGAAATTTGGAAATAAGAACTTTAAAGTGTAGCTATTTCAACCTTCTCTTTTTACTAGAGATCTGGCTATCTTGGTTTAACAGGTCCAGACAATGGTCAATTCCTGGCCATTACTTGGACTTTAGTGGGCTAAAAAATCTTTGCTTTGCTTGTCCATTCATTCCACTCATTGCTGTTGCAGTTACCTTAGACACTTTTCAATAATACTTTGGACCTTGAAGGAAAAACTACATCTCTTCATTCTAGCCATGCTGCCTGGCTTCCCAGATACTTAAGGATGGCTCTTCATTGAACAAACATGTTTTGAGGTGTGCTACATGCAAGAAGTTGAGAATAAGAAGATTTCTGTACTACTGCCAATAACTAACATTTCTTATCCATATAGTGTGCTAGAGTATGTGCTCAGCATTGTGGAAGCCCATAAGCCAAGGCTACTAGAAGAAAACGTGAACTCATACAAAGTCAAGTTTAATTAGCTTGATGCAGCAAAAGACAGCATATGTCTGAGGATGTTTCCAAAAGAGTGACCTGGGAGGGGCTTGAAATGAAATTTGGACTTAAGGCTGAGTGATTTTAAAGTGGCATCAGAGAAGCAGGAACTTGTTTTAGAATGGGTGCTGTCAAGAAGAAAGGACAGTTCAGCAATTGGATATCTTGATAGTCTTTGTTCTAGAGACAGGAAGAACAGAGAGGAAGTGGGCATGATGTTCATAAGAAAGCAGGAATCACTCAGAATAAGGAACTGTTAGTCATTTTGCTGCAGTGGTGTGGCCTACAGTACGGTCTGTAAGAAATATTGTAATGATGGGCTGGGCGTGGTGGCTCAGCACTTTGGGATGCCAAGGCGGGTGGATCACGAGGTCAGGAGATTGAGACCATCCTGGCTGACATGGTGAAACCCCTTCTCTACTAAAAATACAAAAAAAAATTAGCCGGGCGTAGTGGCGGGTGCCTGTAGTCCCAGCTACTCAGGAGGCTGAGGCAGGAGAATGGTGTGAACCTGGGAGGCGCAGCTTGCAGTGAGCGAGATTGAGCCACTGCACTCCAGCCTGGGTGACAGAGCAAGACTCCGTCTCAAAAAAAAAAAAAAGAAATATTGTATTGATGTTCTGCTATAAACACTGCAGTCCAGTTACTAATAGTATTCATTTTTACTCTCTCAGTGTATTTTCTCACTTGATTGTTATGACAATCTGCTGTGACAATAGTATAATTATCTGGATCTTACAGTTAAGAAAATAGGCATACAGAGATTACATAACTTAAATAAAATCACCCAGCTATTAACTGGTAGAGCCAAAGACTGTGACCATAGATAGAGCTTATGCTTTTAGACATTTTGTTTCTTTGGCTCTCTATGACAAATATGTCACTACTCTTGCCTTGGAATTTCTTTAAGGCTAAAGAGGAAAATCGGTAAGTAATCACACGCAGTGGTCAGTGAGGATTGAAGAGGTAGCCATTTGGTCTAACCTTTTCCCATAGTACCAAATATCTCCTAGTCCATAAGGAGGACCTTGACAGCAGGCACCACCGCTGAACTGAATCAAAGTAAAACATGGTTTGTCTGCTGTCGTAAAAAATGTGTCTCCTGATTGCCAGCCAGGGCTGAGTGGTGTCATACTTGATTTAGTCACTGTAATATGCTGCTGACAGCTACTAGGCCCAGTTGTCAAGGGACCCAGCCTAGGCTTTTCTAGGGCAGTCAGGCACTGACCTAGAGCTTCCTGTTATTTCTGATGTCATCCTTCAGACACTGCCTTAGACCCTGAAACTGTAATGCCATTTTGCCTCTCTAAGATTTCAATTCCTTATTGGAACGAAGATAACTTGCACTTTCTCTTTTTAGTGGTACAGTTCTATAACTCTTACTCCGCTAATTCAGACCAACAGATGATCTCATAAACCTTCTCTTATTAAATAAAACATTAGGAATAGATTCATTTTTGAATTACTAAAGCCATGTTCAATACAAGAGAATCATCATAGAAGGAGCAGATTTCAAAGCAAGAGTTCACTGGAAATAATCTTTTATATGTGTTCCTGCCATTAGGCTCTACCATTAGCTCTTATAATGTTTGTGATATATCCTGTATAGTTGGATTATTGCAAGATGGTAAATTTTGTGTTGGGTAATTTCCACTTTAGTATTCATTTATGCTGTCTCTTAGTTTATAACATACCTTATATTTGAAATTAGAAATCTTTTAAACAATGAGTTTGGATTTACTAAGTTATCCTTTTTTTTCTCCATTTTTCTCAAGTTGTGAGAATCTAGCATATTTTAAAATCAGTAAAGATGTTATGAAAGTGAGTCAAGCATTCAATGGGGATATAGATAAAATAAACTTTAAGAGATTTTTGAACTTTAAGATTTCATTGCTGGCTGAAATAGAAAATTTGAAAGGCTGTATTGCAAAATCCACAGATACTCATTCAGTAAGAGAATGAATTCTGCTTCAATGTCCTTCAGTAAGGCCAAATCACAATTTGTAACTTTAATATATTGCTTTTAAAACATAATTTTTATTTGTAAATTCCCAAGTAAGCCCACAGACTTTAGGGTTCCAAGAGATGATCAGAATTAAAATTCATTTGGCTTGAAGAAAGCCTTAAAAAAATAGAAAAAAGCAGTATGGCCATGTAGTAATCTGGGTTTAAGGTTTCAAAACTTAATGTAATTATACCAATGTCCATTTTTTAAAGTTCTTTGATTACTTAGAAAAAATATTAGCAACAGACAATGTAGCATCACATGCCAGGGAACCAATGCTTTTCAAAAGGACATCTCTTCCTCCCTGGTCTTCCTCCCAATGCCAGTGTAGTTTTGATGGCCAGAGTATAGCTCCAAACCAGTGGATACTCTAGCCACCTAGAATCATAATCAGGATTACCCCTCTGAGCCTTACAGATACAGAATCTGGAGAAATTCTAAAGACTGAGTTCATTTAGGATTTTGATTCCACTTAGAGGAGGCCTAGGGATTCCCTGAAAAATGATAAATAACTAACATTTGCATTGCTTTTGCTAAGTGGCAGACACTGATCTATGTGCTTTCCATATATTAACTTATTTAATCCTCACCTGTGAAGTGGGTACTGTTAGTCTCAACCCCATTTTACAAATATGGAAACTGAGGCACAGAGACGATGAGCAGGTCATTCAAGTGCACAAACTTTACATTTGTTAAGTAAGTGGTGGAGACAGGAGTTGAGGCCAGGCAGGCTGTCTAGAGTCCAAGTGCTTAACTGATCTGCTGTACTGCCTCTGTCCTTAGAAGAGAAAGCTGCATAGCACATTATTGGAACACTCAGCTCAGCATCCAGAGGATGCCCCAGACCAACAAAGATTGATGATGATAGTGCTAAGCCTGCATCTTTAGGCGTCTCATCAGTCTAGATCAGAATCCGTCGGTCTCAAGAGAGAATGATGAGGCCGAACTGCTTGAGATATTCACCCATTCAATTCCTATGCAACCTCATTGGAGGCTTTTCAGAGCCCACGTGATGTTGAAAGCCTGTGATTCTCAACCCTGAATGTGTACAAGATTTACCTGGGAATCTTGCTAAAATGCGGAACCTGATTCATTAGGTCTAGGGTGGGATCTGAGAGTCTGCATTTCTAAGAAGCTCAAGATGATGTCAGTGCTGACCACATTTTGGGTAGCAGCATTCTAAAAATGGCTGTGAACTCAGAGCCAAGAGACTTGGGATTCAATCTCAGGTCTAAACTTAACTAGCAGTGCGACACAGAGTAAATCACTTCACCTCTCTGCCTGTTCATCTGTCCAGCTGAGGTCCCTTCTAGTCTTCTAAGTGAAAGTCCTTCTGGAAGGTAGAAAACAGTAGTTATATTATTCTTTCTTTTTTTTTTTTCTTTTTTGTAAAGATGGAGTCTCGCTCTGTCACCAGGCTGGAGTGCAGAGTCTCACTCTGTCACCAGGCTGGAGTGCAGTGGCGTGATCAAGGCTCACTGCAACCTCTGCCTCCTGGGTTCAAGCAATTGTCCGCCTCAGCATACCAAGTAGCTGAGTTTACAGGGGCCCGCCACCATGCCCGGCTAATTTTTGTATTTTTTTTTTTTTTAAGTAGAGACAGGTTTCACCATGTTGGCCAAGATGTTCTTGATCTCTTGACCTCGTGATCCACCTGCCTCAGCCTCCTAAAGTGCTGGGATTACAGGTGTGAGCCACTGCGCCCAGCCACAATAGTCACATTATTCTAAATGTTTACGTCCTAATTCTTGAAATCTGTAAATGTCCTTTATTACGTGACAAAAGGGACTTTGCAGATGTAATTAGAGTTTTGAACCTTGAGATGTGGAGATTATACTAGATTATCTGGGTGGGCCCAATGTAATTACATGAATCCTTAAAATCTGAGAACATTTCTGGCTGTGGTGAGAAATGTAACAATGGAGGAAGGGTAAGATAAATGCAATGTAAAAAGAATCAACCTAACAGTGTTTACCTGGAAGATGGAAGAAGGGGTCCACAAGCCAAGGAATGCAGTGACCTCTAGAAGCTAGAAAAGGCAAGGAACTATATTCTCCTGTAGGAGCTCCAGAATAGAATGCAACCCTGCAGCCACCTTCATAGTAGCCCAGTGAGACTTGTGTCAAACTTTTGACCCCTAGAATTGTCAAATAACAAATTTGTGTTGTTTAAGCCATTTAGCTTTGGGTACTTTGTTATAGCAGAAATGGAAGACTATTATAGACAATTAAGCCCGAAGTTCAAAATGCTGGTAACTCATATAGCAAACAGAATTTGATTTTGGAATATTTTGAGATATAACATCAAGATTTTAAGAGAAACTGTTCTATTTTCTTTATTTAGTTTTGCTTACCTTTTTTTTTTTTTTTTTTAGAGATGGGGTCTTGCTCTGTCACCTAGGCTGGAGTGCAGTAGCATGATATGGCTCACTGCAGCCTCAAACTTGTGGGCTTAAGCGATCCTCCTGCCTGCCTTCTGAGTAGCTAGGACTACAGGTGAGTGCCACCATGCCTGGCTAAATTTTTCATTTTTTTGTAGAGACAGGGTCTTGCTGTGTTGTCCAGGCTGGACTGAAACTCCTGGCCTCATGCAATCCTCCTGCTTTAGCCTCCCAAAGTGCTAGGATTACAGGCATGAGCCATCACACCCAGCCAGTATTCTATTTTCTAGTTTCCTTTGGAGGTCTAAAAAAATCATTATTAGTATGAGTAAGACCCCAAAAGCAAATGCAATAAAAATAAAAATAAATAAATGGGACCTAATTTAGCTAAAAAGCTTCTGTACAGAAAAAGAAATCATCATCAGGGTAAACAGAATGTCACACGCGTCCGTGTGAAGACAGTCCACCAAACAGGCTTTGTGTGAGCAACAACGCTGTTTATTTCACTTGGATGCAGGCAGGCTGAGTCCGAAAAAGGAGTCAGCAAAGGGTGGTGGGATTATCATTAGTTCTTATAGGTTTGGGATAGGCGTACAAAGTACATTCTTAAGAGCAGGGGAGAATATTACAAAGTACCATCTTAAGGGGGGAGGGGAGAATATTACAAAGTACCTTCTTAAGGGTGGGGAGGGGAGGTTATATCGTATCAGTTAGGGTGGGGCAGGAAAAAATCACAATGGTGGAATGTCATCAGTTCAGGCTATTTTCACTTCTTTTGTGGATCTTCAGTTGCTTCAGGCCATCTGGATGTATACATGCAGGTCATAGGGGATATGATGGCTAAGTTTGGGCTCAGAGGCCTGACATTCCTGTCTTCTTATATTAATAAGAAAAACAAAACAAAATAGTCGTGAAGTGTTGGGGCGGTGAAAATTTTTGGGGGTGGTACGGAGAGATAATGGATGATGTTTATCAGGGCTGCTTCGAGCAGGATTAGGGGTATTATGGGAACCTAGAGTGGGAGAGATTAAACTGAAGAAAGATTTTGGGGTAGAAGGTGATATTGTGGGGTTGTTAGAAAGAGCATTTGTCATACAGAATGATTGGTGATGGCCTGGATGCATTTTTTTATGAATTGAGAAGCTAAGCGGAAGACACAAGGTCCAAATAAGAGAAGGAGAAAAAGAGGTATTAAAGGACTAAGAATTGGGAGGACCCAGGACATCCAAATAGAGAGTGCCCAAGGGGGTTCAGCATAATTATTTGCTTGGTGGTGAGTTTTTGGGCTCTATTCTTG
Organism: Homo sapiens; assembly: GCF_000001405.40. Classification (NCBI taxonomy): domain Eukaryota; kingdom Metazoa; phylum Chordata; class Mammalia; order Primates; family Hominidae; genus Homo; species Homo sapiens. The sequence goes on from NC_000003.12 coordinate 131,510,084, forward strand.
AGTTTTTTTATGTTGTCATATACCAGGCCAGATTGATTTAGGTAAAGAAAAAAAAAACACTCTTCATTTAAAAATATATACAGTCCTCCTTTTTCAGCAGTGGGTAAATCGAGGCCTCGGCAATTTTGGAGGAAAGACAAATGCAAAGCCAGCAATTGTTTGTTAAAGAAGGATTAGAAATGGCTAGGAGAGAGTGAGTAAGAGTGATAGTGTGGTGGAGATAGCTGGGGAGAGGTAGAGGGTAGCATAAGAATGGGGACTAGAATAAGAGTGAGTATAAAAGTAAGGAATAGGACTTCATCGGGGTGAAAGTATTGGAGTGTGTTCTGTCAGCAAAGATCATCTATCCACTCCAAGAGGGAGTCAAGAGTGGCAGATGGGGGATAGATTTTCACGATGGAAAGGAAATGAGAGGTTTTAAGAGGTGGTCTAATGGCTTGTAACCTACAAGGAAGAGGTTATGAAATGATGACAGAATACAATGGGCCTATGAGGCTGGAAGGAGATATATATATATTTTTTGGTCTAAGAACCATCTGCCTTGAGTAGAGAGGGATTGATAGGTGGAAACTTCATTTGGAGAGTAAATAGGAGTGACCAATGAGAAGGAGAAAAACTGGCCATGAGGCACAGAAGTTAGAAGCTAGCTGCTTCTTTAGCTACCTTATCAGCATAAGCGTTGCCCTGAGTGATCAGATCTGATGCCTTTTGATGGTCCTTGCAGTGAATGACTCCAGCTTCCTTTGGAAGTAAAGCAGCTTTGAGAAGAGTTTTTACTAAAGAGGCATTAATGATGGAGGACCCTTGCGTAGTGAGGAAACCTCTTTCAGCCCATATAACAGCGTGGTGGTGCAGGATATGGAAAACATATTTAGAGTCAGTATAAATATTGATGCATAATCCCTTTGCAAGAGTGAGGGCCCGAGTTAAGGCAATGAGTTCAGCTTGCTGAGAGGTAGTGGAGGGGAGCAGAGCAATAGCCTCAATGATACATGTGGAAGATACTATAGCATAGCCTGCCTTTGCTGGTGAGTGGCGATTAGGCCTGGTGGAACTGCCATTAGTAAACCAAGTGTGATTAGGGAGAGGAACAGGAAAGAAGGAAATTGGGGAAATGGAGTGAATGCCAGGTGGATCAGAGATATACAGTCATGGGGGTCAGGTGTGGTATCAGGAATAATGTGGGGGCCAGCCTAAAACAGTAAGGTCAAGTTGTTTGGACAGAAAGGCTACAGGACATGATCCCAGCTCTTGTGTAAGAATTCCGACTGCACAGCCCTGAACTTTGGCTGTGTGTAATGAAAAAGGGTTGGGATGAGTTAGGGAGAGCTAGTGTGAGAGCAGCTTTTAGGGCTGTTTTTAAGGAATGGAAAGAGGGGTGGAGAAAGGATTTAGGATTTATGGGGTCGGCTAGGTTTCCCTTTGTGAGTTTATATAACGGTTTTGTTAGGATGGCAAAACCAGGTATCCAAAGGTGAAAGTATCCAACCATGCCCAGGAAGGAAAGGGGTTGTTGTTTTGTAGAAGGGATTGGGGTTTGGGAGATTGGTCGGACACAATCAGCAGGGAGAGCACATGTGTTTTTATGAAGAATTATGTTGAGATTGGTAACAGATGAGGAAGAAATTTGGGCTTTGGAGGGGGATATGTGATATCCCTTTGACAATAGATGTTAGAGAAGCAGGAGGGTGTCCTGTTGAGAAGATTTGTAGGGGCAGGGCTATAAAGTAGAAGGTCATCAAAATATTGAATAAGGTGAGAAGCAGATGAATGGAAAGAAAGTAAATCATGAGAAAGGGCTTGACTGAAATAATGGGGGCTGTTCCTGAAGCCTTGAGGCAGTACAGCCCAGGTAAGTTGCTGAGGCTGTTGGGTGTCAGGGTCAGTCCAAGTGAAAGCAAAGAGAGGCTGGGTGAAGGGTGCAAAGGAATAGTAAAGAAAGCATCTTGGAGATCCAGAACAGAATATATGGGTTTGGCACTATAGGATGGATGAGAAGGACAATTTGATTAATAAGGTGAAGATCCTGAACCAGCCTTTAAGACTTGTCCGGTTTTTGGACAGGTAGGATAGGGGAGTTTTAAGAGGTTTAGAAGCCTGGCTACCAATACCTGGAACAGTTATGGAGGCAAGGGAAACAGGGCCCTTGAAAAGAAGGTAATGTGGAGTGGATAGCCTCCATATTGATTAAGAAGGGGACGGACTTACCCTCCACTGTAAGAGTTACCCAGAGTGTCCATGATGGTCCAGGAGGCTTCCAAGGTGATGGGGCAGTGTCAGTCTTCAGCCACTAAGCCGAGAAGATCTGAGAAGGAGTCAGTCAGAAAGTCTTGGGCCAGAGTTCCAGGGGCTCTGGGAGTGGCTGTCGGGTGAGTTGGACAGTCCAATTTCCAGTGGGGTCCTGCACAGATGGGACAAGGCTTAGGAGGAATCTGGGGCTGCGGGCATTCCTTGGCTCAGTGGCCAGATTGCCAGCACTTAAAGCAAGATCCTGGGGGAGGAAGTCCTGAAGGAATGCCTGACTGCTGTGGCTTAGGCGTTTTGAAGTTCTTGTGTGCTGGAGATGTGGCTGGGGTTTCTCTCACAGCAGAGGCAAGTAATTGCAACTCTTCTCTATTATTGTACACCTTGAAGGTGAGGTTAAGTCCTGTTGTGGGGTTTGAGGGACAAAATCTAATTTTTGGAGCTTTATTTAATGTCAGGAGTGGATTGGGTAATAAAATGCATATTGAGAATAAGACGGCCTTCTGACCTTTTAGGGTCTAGGCTGTAAAGCATCTCAGGGTTGCTGCCAAATGAGTCATGAACTGGGCTGGGTTTTTATATTTGATGAAAAAGAGCCTAAACGCTAACTGATTTGGAAGAGGTCGGATAAAGAAAAAGGAGCATTAACCTTGACTATGCCTTTAGCTCCAGCCACCTTTTTAATAGGAAATTTGGGGGCATGTTGGGGAGGGCTAGTCACAGAAGGAAACTGTAAGCCAGATCAAGTGTGAGGAGGGGAGGTGATAGAAGGATTATAGGGTGGGGCAGCAGAGGCTGAGGAAGAATTGGAGCCTGATTCAGCCTTGCAGGGAGTGACCTGAGGAGGAGTCTGGGGAGGAGGGGAGAGGTCAGATGGGTCAATAGAAAAGGAAGATTGAAAAGACTCAGTGATGCTTGGGGTTGGGACTGAGGGAACAGGTGAGAGGGAAAGAAGGAGGATTTGGGATGAGTCACATTGGGATCAGAGACTAGGGAGGGAACAAAGTGTGAAAAATGCCTGGATGTAAGGCACCTCAGACCATTTGTCCATTTTTTGACAAAAATTATCTAGGTCTTATAGGATGCAGAAAATGAAAGTGCCGTTTTCTGGCCATTTAGAGCCATTATCAAGTTTGTATTAGGGCCAAGTGGAGTTGCAGAAGAAAATAAAGCATTTAGGTTTTAGGTCAGTTGTTGAGTTGAAGAGGTTTTAAGTTTTTGAGAACATAGGCTAAGGGAGAAGAGGGAGGAATGGAAAGTGGAAGGTTGCCCATAGTGAAGGAGGCAAGCCCAGAGAAAAGAGAGGGTAGAGACATGAAAGCACAGGTAGAGACAGGAAAGCACCACTTTCCTGCTTGCCCCCCAGGAAAGTGGTGCTTGCCACTAAGGGTGAAGGATCAAGGCAGGCATCCCTGCGGTGATCAGACACCTCTGAAACGTGGGTGAATAATCAAGCAGGTGTCCCCACAGTGATTAAACACCAAGGGAAGACTGTCTTCCCAAGTCCATGACCAGCGCCGGAGTTTTGAGTTCATGGATAAAATGCGTCTCCTCTGTCTCTACCAGAAAAGGAATGGAATTGAAATTAAGAGAAGGGAGAGATTGAAGGATGGCGCCAAGATTGAAAGGAGAAAGAGGTTCAGGGATAGTGAGAGAGGTTGGAGAAGAGAGTAAAAAGAGGCCACTTACCCAATTTAAAATTGGTGAGATGTTCCTTGGGCTGGTTGGTCTGAGGACCTGAGGTCGTAGGTGGATCTTTCTGACAGAGCAAAGAGCAGGAGGACAGGGGATTGATCTCCCAAAGGAGGTCCCCCGATCCGAGTCACGACACCAAATGTCACAGGGGATATGGTGGCTTAGCTTGGGCTCAGAGGCCTGACACAGACAGCCCACAGATGGAAGAAAATATTTGCAAACCTTATATCCAATAAAGGACTAATATCCACAATCTACAAGAAACTTGTTGGGAACAAGGTCCCCAAAATCTGGCCATAAACTGACCCCAAAACTGGCCATAAACAAAATCTCTGCAGCACTGTGACATGTTCACGATGGCCATAACGCCCACGCTGGAAGGTGATGGGCTTACTGGAATGAGGGCAAGGAACACCTGGCCCGCCCAGGGCGGATAACCACTTAAAGGCATTCTTAAGCCACAAACAATAGCATGAGAGATCTGTGCCTTAAGTGCATGCTCCTGCTGCAGTTAACTAGCCCAACCTATCCCCTTAATTCAGCCCATCCCTTCATTTCCCATAAGGGATACTTTTAGTTAATTTAATATCTATAGAAACAATGCTAATGACTGGCTTGCTGTTAATAAATACGTGGGTAAATATCTGTTCGAGGCTCTCAGCTCTGAAGGCTGTGAGACCCCTGATTTTGCACTTCACACCTCTATATTTCTGTGTGTGTGTCTTTAATTCCTCTAGCACCACTGGGTTAGGGTCTCCCCAACTGAGCTGCTCTTGGCAAAACTCAAACAAATCATCAAGAAAAAACAACAGATAATCCCATCAAAAAGTGGGCAAATGTGACTTCAAACTATACTACAAGGCTACAGTAACCAAAACAGCATGGTACTGGTACCAAAACAGAGAGATAGACCAATGAAACAGAACAGAGCCCTCAGAAATAATACCACACAGCTACAACCATCTGATCTTTGACAAACCTGACAACAACAAGAAATGGGGAAAGGATTCCCTATTTAATAAATGGTGCTGGGAAAACTGGCTAGCCATATGTAGAAAGCTGAAACTGGATCCCTTCCTTACACCTTATACAAAAATTAATTCAAGATGGATCAAAGACTTAAATGTTAGATCTAAAACCATAAAAACCCTAGAAGAAAACCTAGGCAATACCATTCAGGACATAGGCATGGGCAAGGACTTCATGACTAAAACACCAAAAGCAATGGCAACAAAAGCCAAAATTGACAAATGGGATCTAATTAAACTAAAGAGGGTCTGCACAGCAAAAGAAACTACCATCAGAGTGAACAGGCAACCTACAGAATGGGAGAAAATTTTTGCAATCTACTCATCTGACAAAGGGCTAATATCCAGAATCTACAATGAACTCAAACAAATTTACAGGAAAAAAACAACCCCATCAGAAAGTGGGCGAAGGATATGAACAGACACTTCTCAAAAGAAGACATTTATGCAGCCAACAGACACATGAAAAAATGCTCATCATCACTGGCCATCAGAGAAATGCAAATCAAAACCACAATGAGATACCATCTCACCCCAGTTAGAATGGTGATCATTAAAAAGTCAGGAAACAACAGGTGCTGGAGAGGATGTGGAAAAATAGGAACACTTTTACACTGTTGGTGGGATTGTAAACTGGTTCAACCATTGTGGAAGACAGTGTGGTGATTCCTCAAGGATCTAGAACTAGAAATACCATTTGACCCAGCCATCCCATTACTGGGTATATACCCAAAGGATTATAAATCATGCTGCTATAAAGACACATGCACACGTATGTTTATTGAGGCACTATTCACAATAGCAAAGACTTGGAACCAACCCATGTGTCCATCAGTGATAAGACTGGATTAAGAAAATGTGGCACATATACACCATGGAATACTATGCAGCCATAAAAAAGGATGAGTTCATGTCCTTTGTAGGGACATGGATGAAGCTGGAAACCATCATTCTCAGCAAACTATCGCAAGGACAAAAAACCAAACACCGCCATGTTCTCACTCATAGGTGGGAATTGAACAATGAGAACAATGGGACACAGGAAGGGGAACATCACACACCGGGGCCTGTCGTAGGGTGGAGGTAGGGGGTAGGGATAGCATTAGGAGAGATACCTAATGTAAATGACGAGTTAATGGGTGCAGTACACCAACATGGCACGTGTATACATATGTAACAAACCTGCACGTTGTGCACATATACCCTAGAACTTAAAGTATAATAAAAAAAGATTTAAAAAAGTGACCAAATGACATGAAGAGACATTTATCAAAACAACATATACAAATGGCCAACAAAAAATGTGAAAATACATTTAACATCACTAATCATCAGATAAATGCAAATGAAAACCACATTGAGATATCTCCATACCCCAGCCGGAGTGGCCATTATTAAAAAGTCAAAAAACAGTACATATTGGCATGGATGTGGTGAAAAGTGAATATTTATACACTACTGGTGGGAATGTAAACTAGTATAACTTCTATGGAAAACAGTATGGAGAATTCTTAAAGAACTAAAAATAGATTTACCATTGAATCCAACAGTCCCACTAGTGGGTATCTACCCAAGAGAAGCCATTATATCAAGGAGACACCTGCATGCATATGTTTATTATGGCACAATTCACAATTGCAATTATCAACCAATGAATGAAGAAGATTTGGTATATATGCACCATGGAATACTTCTCAGACATTTAAAAAAGAATTTAATAATGTCTTTTGCAGAAACTTGGATGGAGCTGTAGATCATAATTCTAAGTGAAGTAACCCAGGGGTGGAAAAGCAAATACTGTATGTTCTTACTTATAAGTGGGAACTAAGCTATGGGTACATAAAGGCAGACAGAAGGTATAATGGACTTTAGGGGCTCACAAGGGAGAAGGTGAGTTGGCAGTGAGGGATTAAAAAAACTACACATTGGTTACAATGTACACTACACAGGGGAAGGATGCACTAAAATCTCAGACTTCACCACTATACAGTTCATCCATGTAACCATAAACCACTAGTACCCCAAAAGCTGTTGAAATTTAAAAAGTAATTTTTGGTAAGAAGGCTTATATCCTTTAAAAATCCAAATTAATGATCAGTTGCATTATTTTGTACATCCATATATTAAAAATACTTGATTGCATATCAACTGTGAAATATACAGTTTTTAGTAGTAGGTGCTTGGCAAATATTGTTTAAATAATCAAATGAATTTGAATCACACTTCACTCAATGTAGAAGATAAAATAACAATGATAATACCTGTTATTTATTGGGCATTTTATATGTCAGGTAATTGGCTCGGAATAGACATCATCGAAGTTTCTCCTGACAATAATGATAGATATGTTCACTATTTTACATATGTGAGTGCATGTCAGTTAAAGAGTAAGCAACTTGGCCAGGTGCAGTGGCTTACACCTGTAATCCTAGCACTTTGGGAGGCTGAGGTGGGTGAATTACCTGAGGTCGGGAGTTCAAGACCAGCCTTACCAATATGGAGCAACCCATCTCTACTAAAAATACAAAAATTAGCTGGGTGTGGTGGCAGGCGCCTGTAATCCCAGCTACTTGGGAGGCTGAGGCAGGAGAATTGCTTGAACCCAGGGGGTGGAGGTTGCAGTGAGCCAAGGTCGTGCCATTGTACTCCAGCCTGGGCAACAAGAGTGAAAAAAAGGTAAGCAACTTGAACACTTAGCTAATAGGTAGCACAGTGGAAATTCAAAACTAGGTTTGTCTGGCTCTAAAACCTCCAATCACTCTCCCATTTTTCTTCTACTCTAGAGCATCAAGACAAAAATCTCAGTCTTCGAGGAACTCACAGTGTAGCAGAAAAGACAAAGGAGGTAAACAGGAGGAGGTAAGTGCCAAAGCAGAGATGTATGTACAAAATTTGGTGGTTGGGTTCCCAGGGCAAGCTAGCCAAGAGAACCAGATTTCCTTTGGTGTGACCTAGCCTTGAAAGTCACATAGTGTCACTTGACTTCAGTCACAAGCTGGCCCATATTTAAGGGGAAGAAACACAGACCCACCCCTGAATGTGAACATGGCAAAGCCACATTGTAAGAAGAACACGTGGATGGAAGATTGTTGCAGCCATCTTTAGAACCACAAGCACCATGCATATGTCCATGTGAAATAATGAAGTTGCATCTAGGTAGTTGCAGGGATTGACCAATTCTAACTCTCAAGAGTTTAACACTTGAACCATTTAGCCTGACAGTTCCTTGCATCTGATGTCCCTCCTTCTCACACCACCTCTCCAGTTCTCCCTCATCTGCAAGGCCTGGCTTAGGCCTGTCCCCTCCATGAGGACTTTCTCATAATCAATAGCCCTGGCTGTTAGCTCCCCCGTTTCTTAGCAATTATTGTGTGGGGTGTTTTTACCTTGTGAAAAAGCTTCAGGCTATGTCTGTCTGGCTTACAGGAGAAAAAATAAGCTTTATTCCATATTTTCTTGTGCTACCCAGTGTAGCTTTTGGATAAAAAACTAGTGTGTCCTCCCTTCAAAGGCCAGGCTTGAAGAATTGTATATGCCCAAAAGGATATGGGGACTTGACTATGATCCAGCGTCAACAGCACAGTCTGGGACCGAAGGGGAGATTTACCATCAAACAGAGTGAGCCGCTGACATTTGCTCCCTTTCCACTGTGCCTGTGACCCCCAGTGGCAAGGACTGGGCAGCTGATGTGGGTCCAGTAGGAGGAATGGACAGGCTGCAAGGGGGAGAAAGGGCACTGCTAGCTTTCAGGGGTCATGCGGTGACAGTGGTCCCTCCATTTGTGGTATTAGACTCCAACCAGGCCTTTCAGGATCGTCATGGCAACTTACCCATCTGTGCCGCTGAGCTGAGACGAGACAGGATTCCCTTAGTAACCAAGGAGCCCGGGAGATGATGCTTAAAATAATTCTTTATGCCCAGGCAGAAATAAATGCCTTTGCAGTTTTAGTAACCATGAAGCATCGTGGGGCACGGCTTTCACTGTCCCTTTATTTCAAAATGGAACAAAATGGCTTTTTAGAGTGGAAATTTCCAACCTAGGTCCAAATGTATCCTTGCTTCACAAAGCACACATCCCCCTGAAGCAAATGAGCAACACACCTGAGCTTCTGAGATGAGCTTCTGGTCACAATTATATAAATTACCTTGAAATAGACCAGGTGCTTTCTGGGTGAAATCACTGTGCTTCATCTAATCTCTTTTTTATTTCCTATTAAAGTCTCAGCCAGTCTCTCAGTAGGGCAAACAGTTATGCTTGGCAAGAGTTTAACACTTGAACCATTTAGCCTTGCATCTGATGTCCCTCCTTGCTCACACCACCTCTCCAATTCTCCTTCATCTGCAAGGCCTGCCTTAGGCCTGCCCCCTCCATGAAGACTTTCTCATAATCAATAGCCCTGGCTGTTAGCTCCCCTCTTTTCTTAGCAATTATTGTGGTGTGTGTGTGTGTATGTGTGTATAATATATATATTTATATTCTTGCATGGTATAATTCTCTTTTATTATAAGTAGTGAGAAGCCTCAAGCTTCTAAATCATGGCTTCTCAATTAAATTGCAAACTCTGTAAAGGCAGAGTCGTAGGATGTGGTTGTTTGGCCTTTGCAGGAACCCCATATTTATAATAAGAGCTCCAGAAACACTTGGAAGTCTTAGAAGTGATGGTTGCAGATGCGTGTACTTTGTGCATGTACTAACAACTGACCTGTTCATGTTGAAAGGGTGACTTTCATGGTATGTGAAGTATACTTCAATAACAAAAAACTCAAAAATATGTGGAAATCTGGTATGAAATACTGAGAAAGTAGCCAGAATTACCATACCAGCAGGAGTAGAGGCAACCCCAGAACTATGACTTGGGTGAAAAGGCCTGAACTTGGGTTACCAAACATCTAGCAAAAGGAAGAGTTTCTGTCTTGCCCATCAGCATGCTTCTGCCTCCTCCACCAGCAACGTTAGCAGAAGCAGAGGGCTTAATATTGATATACTCATATAATAGCCAAGAGCTTTTTTTTTTTAAGAAATGTCAGGTCTTGGTTCAAATCCTAAATCCTATTTTTGTCACTATTTCTATGCATCTCGGGGAATCACTTAGTTTCTCTGAGCTTCCTCATCTTTAAAGTATGATAAAAAAATACTTCCTTCACAAGGTAACAGTACAGATTAAAGGAAATAATATATATAAAGTGCTCAACACAGTACCTGGCACATAGTAAGAACTAAAATAATGCTGACTACAATTGTTAATAATAATATTTATATTCACTTTCTGTTAGGTATTATAATCATTATAAAAAATCTCCATACATCCTTTTCTTTCTCATTGGTGTTTTTAGCATGAATAATTCATCTTGATGTAATCATGCAAGACTCCTAAGAAGATGTTAGGAGACCCTGTCATCATTCTTTTGGCCTCTAGTGTCCTTTATCTTCATGTTTGCTGGCTTCCTTTTACTACTATGGAAATACAACATATGCAAAAGTAGTGTTTTCACTGTTTAAAAACATCGTCAGCAGCATCATCATCATTAACTGCACCAGGAAGCCATGACTCCTTTCTGGACAAGGTGCACTTGCCTGTCATCCTTCCATCTCTTTCTTCCTCCTTGAAGTTCACAATACCCAGTCCAGGAGCATTGCAGAGAATGCTAGGTGTGTCTGCAGACTTGACTTTAAAAGAAAACAAGTTCCTTCAAGTGAGTTCATCATGATGGGAATGATAATTTGTTTGAGAGAATGTGTGTTCTTTGGCAAAGGAACTCCTGTTATACCATGACAGTAATAATAGCAGTAATAAAATCACCAATAATAAATTTACTTTTGAATTTATTTATGTAGTGTCTCGTGTTGTGCTAAATGTTTTGCAAATATTATTTCATTTCACTCCCACAACAATCTATGAGGAAAGTACTGTGGTTGGAGAGGTTAGGTAAATTGTCCAAGACAACATATCTAGAAACATCCCTCGTGAAGCCATTTACCTAGTACAACCTGGTTTAGACCCAAGGTCTCCTAATTCACATTCTTATTATTTCCACTTCATGTGATCCTCAGCCTTTGAGCTTGCTGTTTTGGGAGACTGAAAGCAGAATTCTTTATAAAATGTCTCCTTGCTTAAGTTATGGCCAGAAAGGAAGGGGAAAATAATTTAAAAAATGAAACATCAATTAGATTGGAAATGTTCACACGTAAAATGTCATTATGAGTAGGCAAGTCCTTTGCAAAAAGAAGCCTGTGACTTGGTCAGAGAAGAAAATAAGATATATCAACATTGGTTCTAAGGGAAATAGTCTTCGTCATCTAAACTGTACACTTTCTCCCATGAGCACAGGTGAATGTCCCAACAATGGGCACATGGGAGGTCTCAAGCAGAAAAAAGGTGCTGGTTGCAATGGGTACTTTCTTGGGCTTTAAAGCACAGTGGTCTTCTGAGGAAGAAAATGAAACCAGCATGGGGGACAAGAAGCCATTCTCCCTCAAACCCTCAGTTCTCCCCATCAAACTTCCAGCAAACTTAGAAAACACCATAATCACTGTGTCCTTCCTGCTTCTAGGAATATGAGATTTTTTTTTTACTCGCCCCATTGTATTATGCATATAAGTGCGAGTCATCTTATTCCAAATCCTGAAATAAAATATGTAAGGAGCCATTATATAATGCACACCAGGGAAATAGTAAGGAGCGGTCAATAGAAAATAATGGGAAGGCACACAGTGGGTTTCCCAGAGATGGAGGAGAGGAGGACACTATAATGGTCTGTCCTTTTGCCTTTTCTCTGCAGTGGCAACTCAAATGATTTGATCTAGGCTACAGCAAATTGAATCGCCTCTGTCTCTTTTCCATCTCATGTAAGAAAATGAAGTAGAGGTTGGTGATTGGGCAATATTTTTGCCTTCTTCAACAAATATCCAAGCACCTCTGTGTTCCAAATCCTATGTGCATCTGCTGTCTACATGCTATCTGCTAGCTATGTGCTTAGTCCCATGGGGAAATCAAAGATGAACCTGTTCTCCAAGGTTCTAGGGCAGAATACTTAGAATAAAATATTAGGTTAGCAATATCATCATATTAATTTACATACTTCTTTTTGCCGTAAGGGTTCAAGGACCAGAAAGGAGGTCATGGGAATGAGTTCCCTTTGTGGCTGGTGGGGTAGAGGAGGAATGGCCGTGCAGCACTGCCTCTGTCTACCTCTGCCCCACTATATTTCTCTCTGCCAAAAGCCAAGCTATATTAGTCAGAAATCTTTAATTGCAAGAAACAAAACTCCAACTTCAACTGAATTAAATGAAAAGAAAATTCATAGGTATTTGTGGCTGAAAATTTCAATGGTAGATCTCACTTTAGGCAATGCTGGATCCAGAGCCCAACTGAGGCCATCAGGATGCTATCTTGTTCTTTTTTCAATTTTATCTCTTATGTTCTGCTCTCTTCTGTTTTGGCCTCATTTCCATGAGGCAGCAGAATGGCCTCCTGCACACTCAGATTCCTATTCTCACAGTGTAGTAACACCAAAGGAGTTCTATTCTCCTAAGAACTCCAGCAAAATAATCCAAGCCCAAAAGTCCTAGGTTTGAATTATTTGGCCTGGCTCAGGTCAAACATTTATCAATGAGCTAGTCACTTTATTGAGGGCCATGAAATGCTATAGGTTTTTGCATTTTTTCAGCTTGCTTTATTTATTTATGTATTGCCAGGCTTTTGCCTTCTAGGCTGTACAACTTGCCCATTATGCTATAAATAATGACTTACAGACACCTTTATGATGTGCCATACATTGATATAACACTTTAAAGATATTATCTTCTTAAGTACTCACAAGAACTCTTAAGAGGTAGATAATATTGTCTTCATTTTACAAATAAGAAACCTGAAGGTCAGAGAGGTTAACTAAATTTACACATTCTCTGGGGAACCTGTTTCTGCCTGGCACCAAAATTCTTGGTCATAGTCATAATGATTCTGCCTTCTTTTGGAGGATCAGATCAGCTTGTTATCCATTCTTGCTAGAATAGACAAATGTACTTTCTAGGATGGGCTGAGATCTGCAGGAAAAAAATAAAGACTAAATCCTACAGGTGAGGCAGCTCATGTGGGGCAGCTCAGGTAAGCTCATTTTGATCCTAAAGATACTAAAAACAAAACATAGACAGAATAGGATGGTAATTTCTGAGCTGTGGCTATAATTTAATGATATTTTTAGTCACTTTCAATTCATTTGCTCAATAAATTCTAAATGAATTAGTTTAGATTATGAAATTATTTTCTCAGTCTAATTCAGTTCCTGTGGGTGTAGATATTTTTAATATCCCACACTCCATTCCACCTGGGTTTGACATTTGGGGCTCTGATTGCAGGGATTGCAATCCCAGTGGATCCCAGCATTGCCAAGGATTACCTCTGGGTTGTTAATGAATGCAGGCAAGTCCTTTTTAGCATTTTTACGTTACTTGGAAAAATGATTCAATATGCAAGAGTGAAGAAAAAAATCTTCCTCTTGAAATGTACCAAAACTGTTCATCACCAGTAAAAGAAATTCTTGTCTTAGAAACTACTCTGGCTATCAGGATGGGAACATTAATGGGGAAGCAGTGTCTGCCCACCTTAGAGTAAGCCCTGCCAAACTCAGGCGTGCTTTCAAATTTTGTAAAAGTGAATATATATATAACATATATATATTTTATATATATATAAAATATATATATATAAAATATATATATGTTTTATATATATGCATGTATGTTCTATATACCTAAAAGAACACTGTATAGTATAAGATACCATTATATTTTTGAATCTATTTTTTCCCTCATAAATTCCTGGGCAACACTAGAGAAATTATTTCAGAGCTTGAAGCCATATTTACTTTTTAGGAAAAAGCATTTTTTGTTCCATCAACAAGGCTGGAGTTTTAGAATCCTGCTATGTTCTCAGGAGTCACAAACAGGAATGGAATGGCAGCCTGATGCACCTTTATGAATTTACACTGGGGTTTTAAAATTAGAAAACACTGTACATTTAATAAAATAAGAAATGCCTACAAAACTTCAGTGTTTCTGAGTAAGCTTGATTATTACATTATGCATACTAAAGACCCAAAAAGGTCAGGATCCCACACACAGTTATGAATACCAACATTTCTTTGTGATGCTCTGTATAACTGCAAATGGCAGAACCTTTAAATTAACAATATGAAGAAGGCTTAGATGCATTTTGACACTGAAGAAGAAAGGATAATGGAATTGCAGGGATAAATTTGTCTTATTATTGGCAACTATGAAATTTTTAAAATCAAACCTTTGTAAATGTTTAATGAGATTTTTCTTTTCTCCTGAGTTATTAAATTAACAATGTATTTTATAGCCCATGACTTCTTATAGCAAACACAGGATTCAGTTTTATGTTTATCTCTTTTGCATCATAATTTCCTTTGTTCACTACAAGTTTTCAGGAAAGCTTTGTTAAACACTACTTTCTGTTCTTGGTTGCACTTTGGAGGATTAAGCAAGGAAAATGTGTCCATGGTGGTATCAGGGGTGGTGGGTGTGGGGTATGATTTAAAGAAAAATGCAGCCACCTAGAAATCTGTTAATGTGATACAAGGGCAGGAGATAATTAGCAGAGGAACCTGGAGCCACATACAAAGTGAGAGGTGAGGATGGGTTGGGAGCGGACCCAGGTGAGTGACTGGGTGGCATGCTAATCTAATAAACTGGGGTATTACAACATTTTATTGTGTGTTATTTAAGTTGACGTGAAATTCACATAACATAACCTATATAACATAAAATTAGTCATTTTAAAGTGGAAAATTTAGTGACAGTACATTCAAAATGTTGTGAGCCACCACCTCTATCTAGCTCCAACAAAATACCCCAACAGGATGATAACATTCCTGTCGGGATATTTTGTTGGAAGGCTGGAGAAACTTGGGGGACATCTGAATTACATAATTGCATTGCATAAACCTTGGGAAACTGGTCACATTTTCTTGTATTATAAGCTTGTTGTACTTAATAATGTTTGCCTCAAAATCTTGGTGCTAAACTGAGAATTTTGGTGTAATAACAGTTAATGCACCAGAATTTGATTTGTGCTTACCAGCTATATTTCTTTCTTTTTTTTTTTTTTTTTTTTTTGAGACGGAGTCTCACTCTGTTGCCAGGCTGGAGTGCAGTGGTGTGATCTCTCGGCTCACTGCAACCTCCACCTCCCAGGTTCAGGTGATTCTCCTGCCTCAGCCTCCCAAGTAGCTGGGACTACAGGCGCCCACCACCACATCCAGCTAATTTTTGTATTTTTAGTAGAGATGGGGTTTCACCATGTTGCCAGGGTGGCCTCGATCTCTTCGGCCTCCCAAAGTGCTGGGCCAGCTATATTTCCTAAAAAACTGCACTGAGGGTCTACTGTAAGTGGTTCCCCTCCCACCAGAAGGATGACTTCTCTTACAGATTTAATTCTGCATGCTCTAATCACATATTGGGCACTAAATAGGGTCTCAGTTTAAAGGTAAGACAGGGCTCTGTTCTCTGGGAGAAACTGAGGTACTAGGTGGGGAGAAAAGTTCTGACAGAGGTATGCACAGGTAAAAAGGGAATCCACAAGGTAAATATTTAGTTTAATCTAGGGTAGGGAAGAGAGGTTTAGGAGGGCTTTTTTTCTTTTCTTTTTTTTTTTTTTCGAGACGGAGTCTCGCTCTGTCACCCAGCCTGGAGTGCAGTGGCACGATTTTGGCTCACTGCAACCTCTGCCTCCCAGGTTCAAGCGATTCTCCCACCTCAGCCTCCCGAGTAGCTAGGATTACAGGTGTGCACTACCATGCTTGGCTAATTTTTGTATTTTTAGTAGAAACGGGGTTTCATCATGTTGGCCAGGTTGGTTTCTAACTCCTGACCTCAGGTGATCTGCCCACCTTGGCCTCCCAAAGTGCTGGGATTACAGGCATGAGCCACCGTGCCAGGCCTAGGAGGGCTTCTGAGAGGAGTTGACATGTGAGCTGAGTCTCCCAAGATAAGTAGACATTAACTGGGTGAAGGGGTGGGATGGGGGAAACAACAAACCAATGTGAAGAGTTTGTTAGCAGTGTAGGGTGGGGTGGGGTGGCTAAAAGTGGGCAGAAAAAGTGTGCAAGGATCAGGATGAAAGTCAGATGCATGTTATGTTCAAGGTCATATTCAAAAATTAGGATTTCATTCTGAAGTTGGTGGGGAACCACTAAAGTATTTTAGGCAGGGCAATGAGATGCTTAGATTTATTTCCTAACTACCACTGTGGCAGCAGTATGGAGAGCAGATTGGATGAAGGTAATATGGATTACAGAAACCAGTTAGGAAAATCTTTTACATTCTAGACAAGAGGGGATAAGGTTAGAATAAGTCAGGAGCAGTGGCTATACAAAGAAGTGTAAAAATGATGACAGTAGGAGTTGAGTGGAGGAGATGGCAAGTTGAGCGGAGGAGGTGGCAGTGGGGCCCCAGATCAGGTGCCTCCATGGCAGGCTCTGAAGAGCTGGGGCTCCGGGAAGACACGCTGAGGGTCCTAGCTGCCTTCCTTAGGCGTGGTGAGGCTGCTGGGTCTCCTGTTCCAAATCCACCTAGAAGCCATGCCCAAGAAGAGCCAACAGACTTCCTGAGCCGCCTTCGAAGATGTCTTCCCTGCTCCCTGGGGCGAGGAGCAGCCCCCTCTGAGTCCCCTCGGCCTTGGTCTCTGCCCATCCGCCCCTGCTATGGTTCAGAGCCTGGCCCAGCTACTCCAGACTTCTATGCCTTGGTGGCCCAGCGGCTGGAACAGCAAGAGCAACTGAAATCTCCGCCTAGCCCTGCTGGCCTCGGACCCCGCCCTGCCGCAGCAAGCGGATCAGCCTGGCCTCCGGCTTTTTCGCCCGCCTGGTGGAGCTGTTCTGTAGCCGGGAGGACAGCTCTCGCCCAAGCCGAGCATGCCCCGGGCCCCCGCCTCCTTCCCAGGAGCCCCTGGCCCTGGCCATGGAGCTGAGCCGGCGCGTGGCCGAGCTGGGGGACACCCGGGCCGGACTCAGCGTAGAGCACGCGCACAGCCTCACGCCCTGGATCCAGGCCCACGGGGGCCGGGTGAGCCGCTGAAGCCTCTCTCTCCCGGCCTCACTTTACCCGACTGCCATGTGATAGAGGAGGGGCGGGAACTGCTTAGGTTCCTCTCAGACCTCCGGTATTCTCCCAGCTCCACTGCGTTCGTTCTGTGGTGAGCCCTTGCTGTATGCCCGGACTGCAGCCATGAGTGTGGACGCTATGCCTGGCGTCAATGACTGGGTACGCTAATACTGTGAGCGTGAAACCAGTGACTGAAGTTACTCAGGGAGAGGCCGGACGAGGTGGTTCATGCCTGTAATCCCAGCACTTTTGGAGGCCGAGGCAGGAGAATTGTTTGAGGCCAGGAGTTCAAGACCAGCCTGGACAACATAGTAAGACCCCATCTCTACAAAAATTGAAAATAATTAGCCGGGGTCGGGCGCGGTGGCTCACACCTGTAATCCCAGCACTTTGGGAGGCCGAGGCAGGTGGATCACCTGAGGTCAGGAGTTTGAGACCAGCCTGGCCAACGTGGTGAAACCCCGTCTCCACTAAAAAAATACATAAATTAGCCGGGTGCGGTGGCAGGTGCCTGTAATCCCAGCTACTCGGGAGATTGAGGCATGAGAATCGCTTGAACCTGGGAGGCAGAGATTGCAGTGAGCTGAGATCACGCCACTGCACTCCAGCCTGGGCGATAGAGTGAGACTGTGTCTCAACAAAATAATATAATAATAAAAACCGGGTGTGGTGGCTTACGCCTGTAATCCCAGCACTTTGGGAGGCTGAGGTGGGTGGATCACTTGAGGTCAGGAGTTTGAGACTAGCCTGACCATGGTGACACCCAGTCTCTACTAAAAATACAAAATTAGCCAGGCATGCCTGTAATCCCAGCTAAGGAGGCTGAGGCAAGAGAATTGCTTGAACCTGAGAGGCAGAGGTTGTAGTGAGCCGAGATTGCGCCACTGCACTCCAGCCTGGGCAACAAGAGTGGAACTGTGTCTCAAAAAATAAATAAAAATTTTAAAAATTAATAACAAAAAAATGATGGCAGTAATAATTGCAAATGTCACAATATACCGAGTAGTGTGGCAAATGCCAGGTGTCATAGATGTTGTGTTTTGCAACCCAGATCTCCCCATTCAGGCTTGAGAATTTATTCTTTCAGTTGCTGAGACCCAGAGGCTCAACTTTTCTGAAATTTCCTTAGTTGAGAAGAGATGCTTTGACCAAAACCAACCCTTCTTTTGAGGTATCTGCTGGCTTATCTATGATGGGGTATAAAGGCCAGGCCCCTTTTCCCCAGCTTGGGATCACTTCAAAGGGCTGCCCCTTCAAAGCTTCTTATGGGATCAGAGTGCCTCTTCCTTTTCTTTCCTTCTGCAGTTCATGATCCTGATAATACTCCCTTAATAGTCTATCTGCATTCTAATCTTGATCTTAGAGTTTGCTTTTCAGGGAATACAACCTCCAGACATTGTTCTAAGGTGCTTGCATACATTATCTGAAATCGCAGCAATTTGTCAAAGTAGGAATCATTCTCCCTCTTCTACAGATGGGGAAGTTGAGGCTCAGAGATACCATCCCACTCTTAAATAGCAGAGATTGGATTTGAATTCATGTTGTTTTGGCTTGAAAACACCAGGTATTTTCACATACCGTGCTCAAGAGGAAGGCACTGAGTCAAGACAGGATTAGAGAGTAGAAGTTTTTTAAGGAGGAATTTGATTATCTATTCCATGTGGAGGGCAAGGGAGGGGATGATGATAAACATGGTTGACTGGCTTGATTGTTCTTCTCACCTGTGTCCTTACCTCTCTTCCTACACCACTGCTCTACTTTCAATGTTTGAGAACATCTTCGTGAGAAAGTCCACAAATAGTAAATGTCTTAAGTGTTAAGGCATATATAATATGTCTAATGGGATCCCAAAGTCCTAGAGTCAGAGGGCAGCTCTAGGCTGTGAGCTCCTCCAGGAGCAGGGACCAAATATTTTTATCTCTGCCTCTCTCACTTTAACTCCCATCCCCCTAGTTCTCACCCCAAGCCTAGTGCAAGGTTGGTGCTTATCAAGTGGGGTAGACTAAAAAACGGGAGGTATTCAAGCAGATTTAGAATAACCTCTCCTAGGCAAGGTCTAGAATCAGCAGTATTTTTTAACGCCACTCCTTGACTTGGTCTGTATTTTTCTTCTATTACCATGGGAAGCCTTTTTACGATTCTTGAACAACCCACGTTTACTCTAAGAATCATCTAGTAATATTTTGCATTTCTTCTTTTGTGGTAGGCAGAATGGCCCCCCAAATAAGTCCAAGCCCTAGTCCCTGGAACCCATAAACATGTTCTGTTTATGGGTTTACGACTTGAATGATATAATTATGGTTACAGAGCTTAGGATCTTGGATTGTCTGGGTGGGCCAATCTAATCATAAACCCTTAAAAGCAGAAAACTTTCTTTGGCTGGAGTCAGTGAAATACAGCAGAAAAAGAAGTTAGAGTCAATGTTTGAGAAGGACACATCAGTGCTGGAGGGGGCCCCATGGAGAGCGTGAGAGGGAATGTGAGAAGCCCTTCAGAGTAAAGATTGTGTCTGCCCCCACCCCACCATCCCTGACACTGCCCTCCCCTCTACTTTCTTGCCCAGCTGATAGCCAGCAAGAAAACAGGGACTTCAGTTCTGCAACTGCAACCAACAAC
This sequence comes from Homo sapiens, assembly GCF_000001405.40. Taxonomy (NCBI): domain Eukaryota; kingdom Metazoa; phylum Chordata; class Mammalia; order Primates; family Hominidae; genus Homo; species Homo sapiens. The sequence continues at coordinate 131,529,791 of NC_000003.12, forward strand.
CGGAGTGAGCTTGGAAGCAGATTCTTTCCAGAGCATCTAGTAAGGAACACAGCCCTACTGACACCTTGATTTCAGCCTTATGAGACTTTAAGCAGAGGATGCACCTGAGTCTTCTTGGATTTCTGACCTATAGAAACAGTGAGATTATCAATGTGTGTTGTTTTTACACACTAAGTTTGTAGATGTGTTATGCAGAAATAGCAAACAAATACAACTTTGGCAAGTAGGCTATAAAAAGCAGTTCTCAGAGTGAGGTCCCTGAGACTCTTTCAGGGGGTCTCTGAGGTAAAAACTATTTTCATAATAACATTAAAATGTTTTTCACCTTTTTCTCTATATTGACACTGGCATCAATGGTGCAAAAGCGATGGTGAGTAAAACTGTTGGGGCTTTAGCTCACATCAAGAAAGTGGCACCACATGGTACTAGTGTTCCCTGTATTTTTCACCATCATCACACACTTGAAGAAAAAACATACAGTTTTACTTAACACTATTCCTGGTGCAGTAGGAAAATTATTATTTTTATTAAATTTTGACCCGTGAGTTCATGTTTTTCAAATGCTGGGAGACAAATTGTAAAGCACCAGAAAGTGCTTTTGCTGCATTTTAACCTAAAATGGTTGCCTCAAGGAAACGCATACATGCCATTGTGTTTGGAGCTGATCTAGCTGCTTTTTTTCCTCATAGAACATCATTTTTACTTGTAAAATGACTGACAGATAAGCCAGAGCTATTCAGACTTGGGAGATATTTTCTTAAAAATGATTGAAGTAAGCCTGTCACTTCAAGAAAAACAACTGACAGTATTTGTTGGCAATGATAACATTTGAGCTTCCTAACAAAGATTAGAGTTTTGGAAAGCCTGAACCTGCCACCATAATTTGACAAGTTCTCCATACTTAAAGACTGTCTGGTGAGATCAGCAGTGATATTGTACAGCAATAGAAAATGCAGGGTTTTTTGATATTATAAAATAAACTGTGCAAGCATTTGGAACATCTAAATAGCTGAGTGGATCAATATTTTCTGAATGCCCAGTACATGATGCTACAAAATAGTGCATGGGTAAAAGAACCATTGAAAATGCTAGGACAATTTTATTGATATGATTTCATATTCTACATTGCAACTAACCTTTAAAAAACTACCACTTGTTGAGTTTGGATGTGGTAAAAAGAAGGACAATTACCTGAAATAGCTAAAAATAGCTCTCCTCTTTCCAACTACATATCCACGTGAGGCCAGGTTTTCAACATTGTACTTTAACCAAAACATCATTTCACAACACATTGAATACAGAAGCAGATATAAGGATCTGGCAATCTTTTATTAAACAAGGCACTAAAGATTTGAAAAATTATAAAGCAATGCTGCACTTCTCACTGACCATTTTTTGGTTTTGAAAGTATAGTTTGTTATGAAAGTATTTTATTTATGTTATCATGTAATGGGTCTATTATTGCTATTTAAATAAATTAATAAATATATTCCATTTCCAGTTTCAATTCCTAATATAGCAAATGTTAATAAATATAAGCCACAGAAATAAAGCCTCTTTAGGGTCTTCAAGAATTTTAAAGTGTGTATATTATCTGTTGAGACCCAGTGGAGAGCAGGCCATACACAGATATAACTCAGTGGTTCCAAATTTGCACACAGAGCAAACATAAGCCCAGAGGTAGTTTTCATTTGACTTGCACAGATTGGTTCTTGCAATTTTTTTTTTTAGACTGAGTCTTGCCCTGCCCTGTCACCCAGGCTGGAGTGCAGTAGCGCGATCTCGGCTCACTGCAACCTCTGCCTCAGGTTCAAGTGGTTCTCCTGCCTCAGCCCCCTGGGGAGCTGGGATTACAGGCATGCACCACCACACCCGGCTAACTTTTGTATTTTAGTAGAGATGGGGTTTCACCATGTTGGCCAGGCTGGTCTCGACCTCCTGACCTCAGGTGATCCGCCTGCCTCGGCCTCCCAAAGTGCTGGGATTACAGGTGTGAACCACCGCACCCAACCAGCTCTTGTCGTCTTTTTAAACAGTTACTGAATTTTAAATGAGCTTTCAATATTTATAGATCAGTAGGTTTTATGTGAAATACCATGTTTTTCAGTTTTCTTAAAAAACTGGTTGGGCTGGCTGCATTAGGTCCACATTCTTGCATGGCCCCTGGACCTGGGTAGCAGCTGCCTTCTTCTGGACACACGCGTTCCAGTTTCCCTCCATTCTTCTTACTTTACTCTTTATGTCCCTCTGTTAAAACCTGTTTTTTTCTTAGTTATTCCTATGGCTTGCACAGCTCTTGGAAGCATCTGTATTTGTAATGTCCAACCTAAATGGTCTCCTTGATGGCAAGAAGTTGGGGAGACCTGGCTGTGGCTTGAGAATTTTCTATTGCTTTCAGGGGGGGATGTTGTACATCACGAGACACCAAGTGCCCAAAACAACAATCTGAGATCATCAGATGAGACGGATCTTTCTGAATTTGGGAGCAAAGGATATTTTAAGGCTAATTTCTCTCAAATTTCCTAATAATCTGCTGCTTGATATGGCAAGTGAATGAGTATAGTGCAAGAAGGATAGCCGAAATGGGGATTATACAATGAATTTGGGTTTAGGAGCCAGAGTATCCATATTTAAATCCTGGCTCTGAACTTCCATAGCTGTGCAATCCTGGCAAGCTACCTAATCTCTCTGTGTCTCAGTTTCCTCATCTGCAAAGTAAGGCTATTAATACTACCGATCTCACGAGGATGTTGGGAGGATTAAATGAGATAGTACATTACAAGCACTTAGAACAGTGCCTGGCACACAGTAACCTTTTGTTATGAACTGAATATTAGTGTCCCTCCAAAATTCATATATGAAGCCCTACCCCTCAATGTGATGGTATGAAGAGGTGGGGACTTTTGAAGATAATTAGGCTTAGATGAGGTCATGAGGGTGGGATCCTTGTGATGAGATTAGTGCCCTTATAAGAAGAGACCAGAAAGCTAGCTCTCTCTCTATCATGATAGGACATAGTAAGAAAGTGGCTGTCTGCAAGCCAGAGGTGAGCTCTCACCAGGAGCCAAATTGACTTGTACTTTGATCTTTGACTTTCCAGACTTCAGAACTGTGAGAAGTAAATTTCTGTTGTTTAAGCTACCCAGTTTATGGTATTTTGTTATAGCAACTTGACCTGACTAAGACACCCTTCAATAATTCATAGATATTATTTTTATTGTTCTTTTGAGATGAACTTGAGTCTGACTGTGAAAAGGAAAGTAAACTGCTTTAAGGTTCTGCCAGGCCAACTGCAGTCTGTCCTCTCTGCCCCATCTCACAGACTCCAGGAATCCTGACATGAGTGTAGAGATCCTAACAGATCTTTGTGAATGACAGGGTGCATCATTTAATTGATAGACACAAACACTTAACCTACCTGTGAAATCTACAGTGGATTAAAGATTGATCATAAGGCATATTAACAAGACTATTCATTCATTTACTTATTTTATTAGTCATCTCTGTATTTATTAAATGTCTGTTGAGTGTTTACTGTGTTCCAGGTATATAGACATGTAAGTTCATGTCTTGGTTTGGGGTTAGATATAATCACCAGATATTTCTGTAATATTGCACCTAAATATTTTAATTTCTTGTTTATTAGAAGCAGTGATCCATGTTTTCATTGGACTGTGAAAGAGCTACTTCTACTCTAAGGCCACATTGCCTACATGAAATAAATTATTGTTAGGAAATTGCCTTGAAAAGAGAAACAAGACCACAACTCTTAGAAGAATTCTGTAAGTACCCAATTTATTAATAAAACAATATAGCTTAAATATTTATGATTTTTTCAGTCATACAATTTTACCATCATTCCCAAAATGTTGTGCATTTGGTGACATGTATTTGCAAGATTAGGATCTATAATTGTAACTGTGGAAATCATAGAAGGCATTTTATTTGCTTGTTAATACTGCTCCCCTCTTCAAACAAACAACAAATTTTGCCTTGTGATTTACTTCTTCATCTCTCTGACCAAAAATAAACTCCACTTTGTGCCTTTTATGCTTGCAAAAACACTTGCCTGTTTCCCTGCAAGAAGATTATACAAGTTAAACATTCGTCCTTTTGGTTCCAGACTGGCCAGCTTATATTGAAACAAAACACCTCGACCCCAGACAATAATTCCAGGCATTTCTGCTTATAGAATTTGTTCTCAGAAGTGATAGAAAGGAGGCAAGAAATTCCCACACTAAGCTCAAAGGTCAATTTAGTGGACCAGATATCGGGAGCTGTACTGCATAGCCATTTGCCATGTGTAAGTTTCTATTGTTGTGGTTCCAGTGAAGACGCTTTGAGATCACTTCTAGGGATTGACACCATCCATGCAGTGGTGTGTGATGCCACTTTTAAGAGGGCAGGGACTGGCCAGGAGGAGCACTTTCTAGTCTTATCTAAGGAAGAGGTGTGAGTATAAAGCAGCGAGACTGATTTGAGGTGTGCAGCTTCTGGAGTCAGTCTCATTACTTTCTACTGTCACCTCTGGAGACAGGCAGGACTTTTGTGCTACTGTCAGGAAGAGGTGCCATTCTCAAGCAGACTAGAAGCCACGCTGTTTTTGATGGTCTCCATCATGACACCCTAAAGTCTAGATCCTCACTCCTCTTGGTATAGTCCAGGGACTGCATTAGCATCACCTGGGACCTAGTTAAAGATGCAGAATCTTGGGTCCCACACAGACCTATGTATCACAATCTGAATTTTAATAAGACTCTCAGGTGATTTGTGTACACAGTATAAAGTATGAGAGGTGCTGGGCTAGATGACCCAGACTTACCTCAAAAAGACTCACCTCAGAAAGAAGAAGTAAATAAACCTCTTCTTTAGTAGAGAGACCATTCTCAGCAGGGAGGAATTAGAGATAACAACTGCAAAAACCATGTGGGTTTTTCTTTTTTTATTTTAAACATGCAAAATACAGTCCATGCATCTGCCATTTTAAAAAGTCTCTCATCCTATAGCAGATAAAACCAAGTATATTTCGTCTATCAACATTCAGTAAATGTTTCAAAATGCTTTAGAGTGTAAAGATAAGAAATTTAGCAAAATTTCAACAAACCTGTATAAAAAATGGATACAGATACCATTTTATTTCAAGGCGACATGCTGTAATGTAAATAGTAAGTTATTGTTATCTGTGTTTCTTTGTAAAAAGTTAACAATACAAGGGCTTAACAGATCCAGGCCTCAGGGCTACACATGCAAAAAAAATTGTCAGATAGTTAAAAATCACCAAAACGTGCTATTTTTAAATGTGTATATGTTGTTGGTTTTTTAAAGTACAGGAGTAGTAGAAGTATTAAATATGAAATATTAGCAGGAATAGTATTTCAGAACTCTGTAAAACTGTGTGGGGAGTTCATGGTGCTAGTGTTCTGGAAGATTCATACATTTCTGATGAACATTTTGGTTTAATTCCTTTGCCATTGTAATAGTCCACAACTTGGTTTGGGACTTCAGCCAGCACGCTCTTTGCCAGGGCAGCTGGAGATGCCTGCAGGGAAGAAGAAATCATCATGACGTTGGCTTCTGGTCAAGGAATCAGACTCATCCTAAAAGATTTGAGTCCTGCTCTGGGCAGCTAAGTTTCATTCACTTTCATTCATTCGTTATTTGTCAAGGGTCTACTTCAAGCAATAGTTGTCAGATTGTTGGAAAATGGACCTTTAATTTCATTATTATATATTTTTATGCCTGTCTCAAACTATAAAACTATTTACATCTGAAGACGAGTAAAAGTTGGATGGGAGAATGAATTGTTCTGCAGTTTTATTTCTAATTTTCACTCAATTTTAGACACTTATTTATGTTCCAGGTGCCACACTAGGGTTTGAGGGTCTATGGTTCTTGCCTCAGGAAGGCTGTAATCACGAGGGGAACTAGGCATGGCCAATATTAACTATGAGGTAGAATATGACACATGCTATAGAGCAGCAGTGTCACATTACATGGGAGCTTATTAGCAATGTAGACTCAGACCCAACTCAGAGCTACTGAATCACAATCTGCCTTTTAACTTGACGCTCTAGTGATTCATATGCATATTAAAATTTGAGAAGCTCTTCTCTAGAGAATCACAAACAGTGAGGCCAGGGCATAAAAAACATAGAGACTAACTTATCTTGGAGGCTTCTAAGAGGAGGTGGCTTTTAAGCTGAGCATATTTTAATACATAGAGAAGGGGTAGGGGAATGGCATTTGACCATCATAGGCATAGTGAGTTACCTGATGGAGCTGAAGGAAGTGTGTATGGCAGGTGGGGGACGAGGGGGTTTAGGGGTAGTTGCAGGATTGGTTGGGCATTTGGTTGGAAAATTGGCTTGAGACCAGGTGATGGAGAGTCTTGAATACCACACTAATTCATTTAGCCTTTATTCTATCAGCCTTATGGATCTACTGCATGATTTTGGGGTAGGGGCACAGGAGGACCATGTGATTTATGGTGATGATTCTGTAGCAGAGAAAGGTTGAAGCTGATATCATACATGGACTCTGGAGTCATGTAGAGCTGGGCTTTACTCCTGGCTCTGGCATTTAGTATTAACTGTACAACCCCTGGGCAAGCAATTTCAATGGCCTGAGCCTCATTATTAACTATTATTGAAGAGATTGAAAACTTGAGGCAGACTTAACAAGTGTTTGAGATTCCAAAAGAAAGAGGGCTGGACTGAATACCATGTGACCTGGTTTTCAGTTTTTTCTTTTCTATGTGGCTTGCCACTTGGCCATTTAACTTTACTAAGCCCCGCTGTTCTTAGAGGCAAAAGAGAAAAGAAAAATAATTCACTCTATCTCACAGAGTCTCAAAATAAGAGACATGTATCTTTTAAGCAATCTGAAAACACTGTAAAGAGTTTTTCTCAAGTGATCTTTCACATTTTGAAGATGTCATAGCATGATGGACATTTGTGATCTACAGATATCCCTTTATTTTATAAATAACTGCTCAGGGTTGTGTGTTAGACCATGGTCCATGTGTATACTGGGGCAGATACAAAAGTCATTTATACCCTTTCCTCCCTGGCTGTTTCTCATACAAAGGTTAGAAAGTCAAATCCTTGATTTTCCAGCTTCCTTTACATCTAGGGATAACAATATGACCCAATTCCATCCTTTGAGATATAAGTGAAAATTTCCTGGGGGAGGTTTTTTGGAAAGCTTTTCTCTCCTGGTTAAAAGTTAAAAGACTTTTCCCTTGTGAAAAGTCTTCAACAATACAAGAGTTTAACAGATTCTGGACTCAGGGCTACACATGCAAAAAAAATTTCAGATAATTAAAAATCACCAAAATGTGCTATTTTTAAAGGTGTATGTATTTTTTTAAGTACAGGAGTAGTAAAAGTATTAAATATGAAATATTAGCAGGAGTAGTATTTCGGAACTCTGTAAAAGTGTGTGGAGGTCATGGTGCTAGTGTTCTGGAAGACTTGTACATTTTTTCTTTTCTGTTTTTTTTTTTTTTTTTTGAGATGGAGTCTCACTCTGTCACCCAGGCTGGAGTGCAGTGGTGCGATCTCAGCTCACTGTAACCTCCGCTTCCCGGATTCAAGCAATTCTCCTGCTTCAGCCTCCAGAGTAGTTGAGATTACAGGTGCCCACCACCGTGCCCAGCTAATTTTATATTTTTAGTAGACATGGGGTTTTACCATATTGGCCAGGCTGGTCTCGAACTCCTGACCTCAGGTGATCCGCCCGCCTCAGCATCTCAAAGTCCTGAGATTACAGGCGTGAGCCACCGCACCCAGCCCTGAAGACTTGTACATTTCTGATGAACATTTTGGTTTAATCCCTTTGCCATTGTAATAGTCCAGGACTTAGTTTGGGACTTCAGCCAACATGCTCTGGACACAGTTGGCCCTATGTCCCTTTCCTCTTCCTTTCTATCTTGAAATAGAATGTGATTACTGGAGCTATAGCAACCATTTTATCATTATGTAGGAAGAGCAAAGGGAATCACAATGTGCTGGCTCTGACACTATTGAATCACTGACTCCAGCAGCAATGAGCCCCTAACTTCTAGCTACATGAGAAAAATACGTTCTATTTGTATAATCCAGGGTTTCTCAATCTTGACACTATTGACATTTGGGGCTGAATAATTCTTTGTGTGGGGGACTGTCCGGTGCACTGCAGGAAGTTTAGCAGCATCCTTGGCCTCTACCCACTAGATATGAATAGAAGCCCCATATTTGTTACCATCAAAAATGTCAGATATTCCAAAATGTTTCCTGGGGCATAATGTTACCCTTGGTTAAAAACCATTTATGTAATCCCTGTAAGATGGATTTACTGTTGCTTGCAGCAAAAAATATTCCTAAACCAGGCTGTCAAATAGATCTTCCTCTGATGATGGTAATATTCTATATCTGTGCTGTCCAGTATGGGAGGTCTTAGTCTCACGCAACTATTGAGTCCTTGAAATAAAGCAAGTCTGACTGAGGAACTGAGTTTGAAATTTTATTTTCTCTTAATGAATTTAAACGTAAGTAGCTACATGTGGTTAGTGGCTACCATATTGGACAGCATTGTTCCCAAAGGATCCCCCATCCCCTTGCATATCTGTGCTGGCAAGCAAATAAGGCTTTGGGGACATGTATTGGGTGGGAAAGGGTCAAGAATATGAATGAAGCTGGTAATAACAGTAATAAAAGCTTTATTTATTAACCACCTACATGGACCAGGCACTATCTTAAGCTTTATATAGACAACACCTTATCTTTGCAATGCATGTATCATTTACCTCATTTTATAGATGAAAGTCTGTGGCATGGAAAGGTTAAATAACTTGCCCAGAGTCACAAAGCTTAAAGCATATGATAGTTTGAGTGTGTCTCCTAAATTAATGTGCTGGGAACTTAATGATCAATGCAACAGGGTTGGGAAGTGGGGCCTCATAAGATGTCAGTATCATGGGAGCAGGTTAGTTATCATGAGAGTGGGTTGTTATAAAAGAGAGTCTGCCCCTTGTGCTTTCCTTCTCCTTGTGTCTTACATGTTTGCTTGTGCCTTCCATACTTCTGCCATGAGATGACCCTTGTAGGTGCTGGTGCTATGCTCTTGGACTTCCCAGACTCCAAAACCATGAGCCAAATACACTTCTGTTCTTTATCCAGTCTATGATATTCTGTTATATGAGCAGGAAAAAAGACCATAACATAACTTGTGCCCTGTAAGCTCTAAAGCTCTGAGTTATCATGCAGAGCAGAAAAAGAGAGGCAATTCATGAGTTAATGGCTTACATAAAATGATTTAAGCTGCTACCTTCCCTTTTATTTATGGCTTATTGAATTCAAAGTAGATTAGTTTGGGTAATGAAATGGATTTCAAAATCTGATTTGAAATCCATGAAGATAAGATGGGTGAGTATGCGCCTGGTGTTCTTCCTTGGTCATTCACAGAGCAGCCAGAGAATCTGTGTAGCACAGAGACTGTGAGCAGCACCCTACTTCCTTGCTCTGCCCTGAGCATTCCTCTTGTTGACAATGTCCCCAAAATTCCCTGCTCTCCAAGGCTCTGTCTTTCCTCAAACACTTAACTTAAGCTGTAAGCCTTTTCCCATGGCTACCTCTCTCTGCTTTGAGGTCCTGTAACAACATTTTAATTCTTCTCAACCACCCACAGGTTGCTTAGCATGTGATTTTTCTGCTAATACCTTTCTCCCAGTCATGCAATTCTCCAGTAAATGTCTTGAGGTGTGGATCCATGGTTCTATCATTTCATTGTGGTCCTAGTGACTAGCATGTGCCTTGCACAGAACAAGCATTCTGTAAGTGTTTTGGGGAAGAGGAGGAGACTTGAGGGTAGAGGTTAGAACCTTTCATAGTTCAGTGACATTGTGTCAGCACACAAGTGTGTGTGGGGAAGTGGGGAGGTGGGGGATGCAGAGGGGAGAGAGGGTGATTTGGGGAAGTTAATGAATCTCCTAGAGAGTGAACTCTTTGATCCTGCTGCACTATGCAAAGTTATCACTGGTATTCAGTGATGTGTCTATCTATTTTGTCTGTCTGAAAAGAATGCAGCATTAAAATCAGGAAGAACACCCTTTCCTCCATCTTAGACACCTAGGGAGAAACTAGCTTCATTAATGAACATAATTGCAGCAAATTTAGCCTGCTCTAGCTCATCCGTCTGTAAAGAATACTACTTCTTTTTGACTCTACTCCTTGCTGTCCATAGGCAGACAACTTTAGGGCTTAGTGCATCTCTTTCATTAATGAGTACCTTTATTTGAAAATCTCTTCCTAGGGAAACTTGAGGATGGCATATAACAACACAATTACCCCTCATCCACATGCACAGCCCTGGGAGCTTGTGGGAAGATTGACTGCTGTTGCTGTTACTTAGAAACTCTCTCTGTGATCAACTCTGTAGCCAGGGATTGGTTTTCTGCTCCTTCAGTGATTTTAATTACACTGCAGCCCTCCTTAAAAGTAGAGTAGTAATTGTGTGGCAGTACAGTTATGAACAATACCTCATCATCCAAGGAGCCTTGGAATGTGCAGTTACTTCCCTATGAAGTCTGGGCAGGTCATGAAATACAGAGTTCAGCTGAGGCTGCTGAGCTGGTGATCTATCTGAATTCTTATTTTAAAGCCTGTCCAAAGAAAGTGGCACAACAAACAGCAATTTCTGAAGAGCATATGCTAAAGGCTCTCACACTAGGACTGGTACCAGGATTACAGTCAAGTATGTATGGGGGTGGGAGGATGGATGGATCATTGTTTTGATGATCCATTTAGCTTTCCACCTCTCATCTGCAATTTCCTTACACAGTATAGGTGAGAGTCCAGTGTGAACCCAAGTTGGGAGTCAGATGTGTCTGGATATATCTGATAAACTCAGTATGAAGAATGTCAGGGATTCATTTGAATGAGTTTTTGACTGGAGGAGAAAGGCTTTACCAAATAAGGTTGAAGTGGAGGGGATGGCATCCTGCCTGACCCAAATAACTGATTTGAGCCCTATGCAGGGAGGGACTGCAGTGGAAGTTAATGAAGATACTTTCCAGCAGGGGTCTTTGAGATGTGGAGACACATCTCACTGCATTAATGACTCAGGTGACAGAGGGGACTCGGTAGCATGGAAAGGAGAGGATTCTCTTCTTTTCCAAGGAGACCACAGATAAGCTTCACGGTACTGAAGGTTCTGAAGATTCCCTGTTGCCAGGGCAGCTCAAGTTTAGTCACCAGCCCTGGGGATGGTATTGTTGGCATCTGCAGCAGTGCAGAGGGCAAGGCCTCAGTGGAAAGTAGGGGCTGGGCATATGCTCTCCTCTTGGGTGGCTTTCACAAGAAGCACAAAACAAAAAACACAAAGGCTATCCAGTAATACCCAAGTTACCCCCACAGGTGCCTAGACACAGCTAGGATACTCTAGAGGGGTCTTCAGGACTACCATTAGCCCCAAGGGAGGCTTTTATGAATTCAAGATGTCCTTCTGGGTGATTACAGCTCAGTAGGTGCAGGGATTTGTGGAAATTTAAAAAATGCTCCTTCCTCCATGGACACAATGTATCAAAACCTGGGAAGGTGGGAAAATTGTTACTGAGCATTTTTTCTATGTCATACTAGAGCATTGTCTAATGGTTCTGCCTCAAGGCCCTTGGGGAATGCAATGCTGCTTGACTGACTTACTATTTCTTACTGGTAAGAGCCCAAGACTGTAAAGTTAGGTATTAATTTATAGAAAACTGATAGCAGGCGATTTCTGGCCCACAGAGAGGGCAATTCAAAGATTACTTTTTTTTTTTTTTTTTACCCTCTTGGTCATTAATCAGTTTTCAATCTACCTTAGCAAACTTATTCAGCATTTTTTCCCACTGACTTTAACTGTCTTATTTATTTACTTTTTTTGAAACCAACTCTCACTCTCATCACCCAGGCTGGAGTGCAGTGGTGTGATCTCGGCTCACTGCAACCTCCACCTCCCTGATTCAAGTGATTCTCCTGCCTCAGCCTCCCGAGTAGCTGGGATTACAGGCGCCTGCCACCACGCCCAGCTAATTTTTGTATTTTTAGTAGAGATGGAGTTTTACCATGTTGGTCAGGCTGGTCTCAAACTCCTGACCTCAGGCGATACACCCACCTTGGCCTCCCAAACTGCTGGGATTACAGGGGTGAGCCACTGCACCCAGCCTTATATACTCTTTTGAACTAACTTTATCATCTTGTTTTGAAGGAGTTAAATAAATTTTTGATGCTGCTTACTATATTTTTTATAGAGGATTTAGGTTTCTATCATTTTGGAAATATACTTTGCCAAGGCAAACACAGACTTCTGCCAGGCCACATAGCTTGACAAGCAAAACATAAGCTGCATTTCAGTTTCTGCTTGGTACTTTGGGCAGGCACCTTTAGGCAGGGAACAAGCTGCCCATCTGTAGGCAGTCCTAGATGCACTAGAGATCCTAAATTATATGAATTATAGGGCAAGCATCAGTGAAATTTTGCCTACAATAGTTAGCATGGCTCCTGATCTGTAACTCAATTTATAATTTTTTTCTCCAAAGAGTCATGCTCTATATATCCTTGTTGTGGGAGATGACGTGGCCCAGGAAGGGATAGCTAAGCCAGGTCATCTCCCACAGCAAGGGTATGTAGAGCATAGCTGGTGTTGCTTCAAGAATGGTGGATCACCATAAACATTGGTGGACAAATGTGGGAGGTGAGCATGCTTTGGTTCTGCTCTTCCATGAAAAGTGCCCCAATGTGTATATGCATACGTGTTTGAAGTTCCTGAAGGGCACGAACTGGACGATGTCTCGAAGAACAGGCTCTCCCTTGGGTGACCTCAGAATCCCATCATCACCGTCCAGCATCTGCATGTCACTGAAGTCAGCGTTCCCTACTCCCACGATGATGACTGACATGGGGAGGTGGGAGGCATGGACAATGGCCTCCCGGGTGTCGGCCATGTCTGTGATAACACCATCTGTCAGGATCAGCAGGATGAAGTATTGCTGCAGTCAGATGCCCCATGATGATGGGGGGGGGTGAAGAGGTGAGGGAGACAAGGACAATACAATACCAGTTAGACACCCAGGTGGCCTCACTGCACATTGACCAAAGCAACAGTGATGACAGACATTTTTTGAATGTGCTGATAGTCCTAAAGGCTTAGGGTTCTGATGAATGGAGCTTAAAGGTAGGCATGGCAATTATAGCTTAATTATAATAACTACCTCACTGACAGTTACAAAGAAAGAGCAGCAGGCCAAGAGTTAGGAGGACAGGCTTCAAAGCCTCATTCTGTGAGACCCTGGGACGATCCCTTAACTCGTCTGTGTCTGAGCTTCTTCATTTCTCAAATGAGGGGTGGGACCCAATAATTTATATGATCTTCTTTACTTGAAGATATTTAAAAATCTAAAGCTATGACATCCAATACAATGATGACTAACCCCATGAGACTACTCAGCCCTTGAAATGTGGCTAGAGCAAGTGACGAACTGAATTTTATATTTTATTTAATTGTAATGAATTTAAATTTAACATTAAAATTGGATAGCCAATTCAGTTATTAGAAACATTTTAAGTATGTTTGGAACAACTTCAGTAGATTAATCTACTTTTTCTTTCTTTGTAACTGTCAGTGAGGTAGTTATTAAAATTAAGCTGTAACTATAAAATCTAAACAAAGATCAAGTATTTATGATAACTTAGCATCCAAATTGACATGCTGTAAGTATAAAATACATGTGGATTTTGAAGACTTATTATACAAAATAGAATGCAAATTATTTCATTAATAATTTTTTTATATGGAGTACATGCTAAAATGACAATATGTTGGCTATGTTGGTTTAAATAAAATATATAATTAAAATGGATTTCTCTGTTTCTTTTTACTTTTTAAAATACAGTTACTGAAGAATTTAAAACTGTATACATAACTTGTGTTATATTTCCACTGGATGGCACTAGTCTAAAGTCCTGCTATAAGAGGGTCAGGGTTGCAGTCTCTCCCTCTGAAGGCCATGTGCCACAAAGGTGGCAGCTCTTCTCCAGGCACACTTGCAGAAGGTTGCAGTGCTCCCATGGCTTCCTGCTTTAAGTCCTGACTTCTGGCCTGCAGCCTGCCTGGCCCCTTTCCATCTGGAAAGCTGGAAGATGACTCAGCAGAGATGGGAATTGGAGGAAAGGTGCTGTACTCAGCAGCACAGGGAAGCCTTGGAAAGTGCTCTGGGGCCTGGAGAAGGATGACCCATTGGAGGTCATCATTATTTTTAGTCAACATGAGAGGCATCATGATGGCCTTTACTGGTAAGAGGAAAGAGAAGCAGATTAGTCAGATGCAGCTCAGGCTAAACAGAAAAGAACTTTCAATATAATCCTGCAAGATGCCTAACATTTATAGGTAGTAAGAGTGAGATTAAGCCATTCCACGTTACCATACTTCAAAGGAGAAAGATTGGATAGAAGAGTGACATTTTGAAAACATCTGATTTTGAGAATCATATACTTAATGTTGCAAATAGTTTGGTAGTACTAAAGAATTTCATTTTTTTTCTGTGAGCCTGAAAAAATGTTTTAAATGAAAAATGTAAGCTGGAGGTAGGTGAACTTCACACTGTGATGAAGATAGCCACATGTTCTGAATGCTTTTCATACAGTCTAATGTAAAGGCTAATTCTGTTCCATGTCCATTAACTAACCACTCACCCCTAGTCCTAGCTGAATTCCCAGTTTGGTTTTCAGATTCATTCAAGTTGTATGTTTCCTTCTATGTCTGTATTTTCTGAGTTGTATATGTTCACAAGGAAGTTGGCTTGAGAGTTTAGAGAAGGCTTTCAGTAGGATGAAGTGATGGAGGTGGTAGGGAGGTGCAGAGAGAAGCGGCAGAAAGAGGCAATGTTGGTGGTTTGGGGATGGAGGGAAGGAGTATAGGACATACCAGAATCATAAGTCACCCTCTCTAGAGTGCACCTGGAAGACCAGGGCAGGTGGCACATCCAAAAAGAGATTACTTCTGATTCATGAGCAGGTGGGCCCTCGAGTGAATCACACTTCT
Source organism: Homo sapiens (assembly GCF_000001405.40). Classification (NCBI taxonomy): domain Eukaryota; kingdom Metazoa; phylum Chordata; class Mammalia; order Primates; family Hominidae; genus Homo; species Homo sapiens. The sequence goes on from NC_000003.12 coordinate 131,544,845, forward strand.
GTGTCTCCTACCTTTATCCTCTACCTTCCCCTAACTCCTGTCTGATCTGATCTTAGAGTTCAGTGGATGAATCTCCCCTACCTGATAAATGCCTTAAGAAATAAAACAACCTGATAGTCATACTACCACATTGAGAAACTTTAGAGTCGTAATGTTCTACAGCAGAGGTCAGGAAACTATTTTTTGTCAAGGGACATTAATAAGTATTTTAGGCTTTGTAGACCATAATGGTCTCTGTCACAACTACCTAACACTGCCACTGTAGTGTGAAAACAGCCATAGACAATATTTAAAATGAATATGAGAGGCTGTGTTCCAATAATATTTTATTTATGGACACTGATTTTTAATGTCACAAAATCTTCATATGTCACAAAATACAAATATTATTCTACTTTTGATTTTTTCAACAATTAAAAAATCTAAAAACCATTCTCAGCTTGCAAGCCATTGAAAAACAGTTTAGTTTAGTTATAGTTTATTGACTGCTGATCTAAACTAGGGGTTCTTAACCTGTCTCCATGGACTACTGCAAGATTTAAGGCAGTCTGTAAACTTGGGGTAAATTACATTTTTATTTTCACTAATCTCTAAGTAAAATTTATCATTTTTTCACTATAAGTGTAATCAACAAATCAAATTAATATTAGTTCTACTTGTGGCTTAGTTATTAATAAAAAAACACATATTTTCCTGTTATATTACAGTACCTACATATATTTCAATGTATTATTTATGTTTAACACAACTTAGAAATTACAGAATTATTAGACAAACTACTGGTTCTCATAATTTAAAATGTAAATACAGAAGCATTTTATTACTGTATTTATGATGTCTCCATCTTCCTTTTAAAAAATATTTTGCTAACTGCATTTCAATATAATTGGTTTACTTTATAATATGGGTCTTATGTTGTACATTTAAAAATACTTCTGGCTGGGTGCAGTGGCTCACGCCTGTAATCCTAGCACTTTGGAAGGCCTAGGTGGGCGGATCATGAGGTCAGGAGATCAAGACCATCTTGGCCAACATGGTGAAACCCTGTCTCTACTAAAAATACAAAAATTGGCTGGGCGTGGTGGCACGTGCCTGTAATCCCAGCTACTCGGGAGGCTAAGGCAGGAGAATCATTTGAACTAGGGAGTCAGAGGTTGCAGTGAGCTGCCACTGCACTCCAGCCTGGCAACAGAGCAAGACTCCATCTCAAACAAAACAAAACACAAAAAACCACACACACAAAAAAACACAAAAAACCACTTCTGAGAAGGGATCTATGAACTTTATCAGCTGCTAAAGGGGTTTGTGGAACAATAAGTTTAAGAACTCCTGGTCTGAAGAGATTGTCAGGATTCTGGAATCTGATCCTGCCAGGTTTCATCTAGCTAAAGGCACTAGGCTGTAGACTGCAGGATCGAAACCTGATAGAAATTTCCAATAAAGCAAACAATAACAGTTCCTTCTAAAGTCAGACTGGGAAAATGCTCATGGATGAAATATTATAGTCTTTGAATATACTTGAGGTCCTGTTTAGATAAAGAGGGGCATTTTTTACCTGGAAGAGTTCCACAAAATCAAGGGGAAAATCCTATAGCAACAGACTCCCTGGCACAGCTTGCCAAAGATGTTCAAGTTTATGACCCTTAGAGATAACAAGGGACTCTGGACCACAGACTTTTCAAAGAACAGGAGAAACCTCTGGGGAAAAGCTTATGTTCTTGGTCTATAGGGGTAATTTATATGGAGATGTGTGGGTTGGATGCTTCTTACTTGTAGTCCCATTTAATGACCTGTCCTTTCATTGCAGACCCAGCTATCCCTGAGGGAGTGAGTGATGGCCAAAAACTCATGCTGTTCTATATCAGCCTGAAATCCAGACCTTTGTTAGTTCTGTTCTCTTTTTAGCCATGTGAGTCCTGGTACCCCAGAGGGGATGAGATCATCCAATTTTTAAACTGGGCCCCAGGGAGCCCTTAGGGATGCCTTGGATGCTCTTGAGGATAAGGGAGCTAAAGAGAATGGACAAGTTTCTGACTCTACTCCTTAGACCAAATTTGGCAAGAATAGTGTATTTTTTAAGTCTATTTTATATGTTGAGTTTCTAAGCAAGTTATCATTTGAAGAATTGGTTCTGGTGCTGAAAAAAGGTTAAAAAATAAAATAAAATAATGGTCACATCCAAACCTTATTCCTAAATCTTGCATCTATGAAGGTTCAAATTTGCTCCAAGACCTCTGTGGTCAGAAAGAGATGCATTTGGGGAAGCCTTTGCAGGGCCCACGCACTGGTGGAAATGTTGGTCTATAATCCTGAGAAGTGTTGGTGGTTAGCCAGATGCATTGGCTCATGCCTATAACCCCAGAACGTTGGGAGGCTAAAGAAGGAGGATTGTTTGAGCCCAGGAGTTTGAGACCAGCCTGGGCAACATAGCAAGACCCCACCTCTACAAAAAATATAAAAATTAGCTGGGCGTGGTGGCACATGCCTTTGGTCCCAGCTATTTGGGAGGCTGGGGCCAGAGGAATGCTTCAGCCCAAAAGGTTCAAAGCTGTAGTGAGCCATGATTGTGCCACTACACTTCAGCTTGGGTGATAGACCAAGACCCTGTCGCAAAAAAAAAAAAAAAAAAAAAAAAAAAAAAAAAAAAAAAAAAAAAACCTAATAGTGTTCATGGCTTCTGAAAAGAAGAGGAAAAATGAGCAGAGAGGAGTCATGATTTTCTTAGCTTTCACACCTGGAAAAGACTTGGCTTGGATTAAATCCTCAGCATTACTGCTGGACAAGATCTCAGCTTACAGAGTGTCTCTGCCCAGCATAAAGGCTAATATATCCACAGTTTTATATATTCACTATTCTAAAGTAATTATTTGAAGTAACACACACTTAGCTCCCCAGGGTCTCCAGTCCTTTTCACAGTCAAACCACCGGTTAGTGATTTCAAGAACATGATGTAATGAACAGAGGAGATGAGAGAACATGCCCCACAGATCAGACCCATTTGTTTCTTATGGATAGCTATGGGTCACCTGATGGATGTTGTGTAGCAGATTGAAACTGTGGTCAACTATGTTAATAAAAGGACATGGAAAAATTATGAGTCTAAAACAAAATTTTGCTTCAAACTTCCTATTCCCTTGTAGGAATTGCTCATGTCACTCAATGACCCAAGCCCGGAGTAGCTGAAGATGATAATGAGATGTATGGAAGGGCCAGTGGACTGAACCAAAGACATGCAGTGACTGTTGTTCTCTCTAGGGACCTTGGGAATTTGGATCTTTTTAAGTAGGAGAGACTTCAAATTATAATGAAAACAGGAACACTGTATTTTCTGGCGTACAAGATGTGCAATATTTAAGATACACACCAGTTTTACAAAAGAAAATGTAAAGTACTTTTCATTATATATATATATGAAAAGTAGAGTGGCTTTATATGCGTTCTTTAAGTAGTATTTATTAAGCATGTACTGTGTGCAGGCATTGTTTTGTGTACTAGGGATATACTAGTGAACAAGTCTTATTGTAGAGCTTCCATATGAAAGTAGAGAGACATAAAATATACAGGTTAGTAGATGCACCTAAAATATTTCAGATGATGATGGGTACTAAGAAGAAAAGTAAAGCTGAGACATGGTGCGGGTGGGTGGGTTGGCTATTTTAGATAAGGTAGCCAGGGGGAACTTTCAGAGGGGTTGAGAGTTGAGAAGAGATGTTAACACAGTCAGAGAATGGATCATATGGAGGTTTGGGTGAGAGAAACCCTGGCAGGGGAACAGTAAGTGAAAAGGCCTCAAGGTGGGAATATATTTGGTGTGTTTGTGGAACAGCAAGAAGGTCAGTGTGGCTGAAATATAGGGAGCGAAAGAGAAAATGATAAGAATTAAGATCAGAGAGGTAGGCAGAGATTAGATCCTATAATGTCTTCTAAGCCATATCAGGGAATTTAGATTTTACTCCAAGTATGATGAGAAGTATTAGAGAATTTAGAACAAAGGAATGCTGCAATACTAATTATATTTTTAAAAGATCAATCTGGTTTCTGCATGGAGTGCAGATTATAAGTGGGAAAAAGTTAAGGACAGTAGCTAAAGGGCAAAGCAGAGTCAAGGGGGAGATATTAACTTAAAGCAGGAGATATTATTGAATGAGTACTTGTTAATGGGAATGAGTCTTCAGTACAAAGGGAAGTAGAAAAGAAAACAATAGATGATAGGAGAAAGAGCGAGAATATAACTGCAGAGTCAAAGTTCCTGGATAATTCAGAGATGTGCTCAAGTACACAAAAGAAGATGTTGACATGAGGTAGGAGCATGGTCCTCCATCCATTCTAACATGAAGGAAGGCTGAGAACATGAAGACAGTGCAAGAAGGTTAGATGAATTGATGTAAGAAGATAAGGGAGTAGTATTTTTTTAAATAAAAACTCAGTACCCAGGATAAAATTACAGAGCAAACTTCAGACATTGGTAATATTCCACTAAATCTGGAAAAAATCATAAAGCTAAAAAGACATGTATTAATGTTATTAAAATAAATACAGAAGTTATTGTGGTAATATATTTACTTCTAAAATATTAGGGGCAAAACTCAAACTCTGGTCTTGGTTTGCATTTTTCTTAAGAAAAGCAATAGAATATGAAACCAATTTTTGCTGTGATGTTTTGTGCTGCTGCGCTTTACCACCAGGAGGCAGAATCATCCATTGTTTTACTTCCATGGTGCTTTGCTTCCATCTGTAGTATGGGTACCTTAAAAAGCAAGCTTATTTTTAAACCTTTCTTTTTTCTTTTCAAGGACAGGAGGTGGATATGACATACTTTAGTGAATATAGTAGCTTCCATTGTTGAGTTTCTCCTGTGTTCAGACAATGTGGTAGACATTTGACATGTGTCATCTCTTAGCCTCACAACCCAGCAAAGATGGGTTTGATTATCCCCATGTTTCAGATGTCAAGACTGAGGATAGGAGGAGGTTAAGTCATTTGTCCAAATTCACACAGGGAGAAGTGTTGGAATTTATTGTTAGAGTGAGATGGGTCTTACGGCCAATATCCAGGTGAGGAAGAGTAAGCTCCCCTTAGGAGGCAAATAGCCCCCTCCTTACCGATGCCTCCTTGGTGTTAGTTTCCTCTGACGCTGACTTGGCAACCTTCTGGATGATGGGGGCAATGTTGGTGGGACCGTAGAGTTGGAGCTTAGGAAGACAGCTCTGATAGGCTTCCACAACTCCTTGAATTCCTGAGGTGAAATTGGCAAAGATCAACAGCTCCAGAGTCACTCCAAATATATTTATAGCCAAACACACACAAAAGTAAAGCATTAAATATCCCAAATAGTCCTTATCAACATCATGTTTATGTTCTTAAGATAAAAAGGAATACCACATTGCTAGTGTTGCTGTCTCCTTCCCCACTGAAATCATTCTCCTCTTTAAAAGCTAAAGTCAAAAGCAACGATTTCCACAAAATTTTCCCTAATATCCTACTTTATATATAAGATTTCATTCGCTCCTCATAGCATAATGAAATAGATGTTATACCCATTTTATAGGTGAAGAAACAGAGGCTTAGAGATGTTCAATGATCTGCCCTGGGTCACATAGCAAGTGTGTTCAAGACTCAGGATTTAAACTTGGGTCTGCCTGGCTCTAAGCACTGTGTTCTTAGCCACTAGCAAGCTAGCTTCAATGTTGCACTTGTTTCCACACGATCTTGTTGACTCTAGTAGATACTACCCGTGCCCTCTATAAGAGTCAGGAGTTCCCATGACCATCTCTCCAGATGTTATACTCTGCGGGCAGGAATCATGACTTACTTATTTTTTGTATTTCCCCAAAGAGCTTGAGGCAGTATCGAGCAAATGTAATGCTCACCAAGTGTGTGATGAATGAGCAAAGTGGCTGATATACTCATCTCCTGGGCACTGAGTACAGATAAGTGATGGTTATCATCACGGACAACCCCTCATTTAAAAGGGGGCTTCCATCCTGAGGCCATATGAGCCCAGGAAATAGAAAAGGATGGGACTCTGCCAGGAGAGGCAGTCCTATCTATACAGCTTCTCCTAGTACTTGATACATCTTGACTGTACATTTCATGTTATCATTCTGATCCCACAGCAATAATCTCATTACAAATGATTTTTATTCAAATGGCTTCTCTTGTTGTCTGTGCCTGTGTTATTGCTTGCCTTCCCCTATTCAGCTTATCCTTCTATCCCTTTCTATTCTGAAATAGCACATTAGTCCTGTTTTTGGCCAGAGGGATCCACACAATTCCCTCCTGAGATTATTCTCCATAACCACCATGCACTGCAAAATAGCTCTTGGGTATTTTAGATGAGCAAGTTCTGTTCTGTTCTGCCCTTACATACATGCTCCCAACCTCATTGGCAATCCTGCACCCACTTGGCCCTGCCCCAAAGCCTATCATTCTAAAGACAGATGCCAAGTCATTTTGCAGTCTGGTTCTGAAGTTAAGTGATGCTGAATAGAAGCTCCTTATGTTTTTTTGGTTCTTGAGCTTTTGCCTAAGATAAGCAAGTTTGATTTCCTCTTGAAAAGTATCAGGCAGATGAATTCTAAGAGTATAAAACAGGTGAATACCAGGGTTTATATTTCATTCTGCTGTGGGGGAAACCACTCTTACAGTTGCAGAATGGGGGTGGTTGGGGATGAGGAAAGTCTAATCCATAATAAACTGAGGATGAAGAATACATTAGTGGAAAAAATGGCAGAATGGAGATTGGGTCTTGGAGGTTACTGTGTTCAGACTCAATGGTATTGATATCATATTCTTGGCCATTAACTGCTAGATGCCTTACACACTCTACTGGATCTGAATTAATCCTGATTTAGCCTCCTTCCTCCTTGACAAGAAGAGAGAGATATGGACATTTCTAATGCAAAAATGTCTTATGATCTTCATAGCAACATAGGTACTTGGCTCTGTTAGAAAACAGAAAAAATCATTCTAGAACAAAATTTATTATAATAATTATTATCATAGTTTCAATATCATTATTTTGTGAAATCATGTCAGAGAATTCTGGCTGGAAACAATGGAACATGAACCAGAACCTTTGAGCAGGCTTTCTCTGGCACAAAGCCATGATGCTGCTTGTTCAAACTCGCTGAGGCCATGTCCTTGGCCGATATGCCGAAAGTGGGAAATGATTTCCATGTTCCCCCCTCTCCTTATATCGGCACAGAGATGAAGTTGTGAAAAAAAAAAAAAAAAAACACTTGATGAAAATTTGGAAAACAGAAAGAGGGATATTGTATCACTGCCTACCAGGTGAAGTTTCATTTATTATTATTATTATTATTATGGCCCAAGGAATCCCAGACTGGGATCAACATTATTGCCATACACTCAAGACCACCTCTTCTGCATTCTGTCTTTTCCAGTTCTTATTTTCCTGCTCTGTTATCATGGCTTTCTCTTGCCTGTGGAGTAGCATGGTTTATGTTGATACAGAAAGCAGAGATTCTGTGGACAATCGTAACTAATATGCTACACCAGCAGAGATGAACTAAAATGGGAAAGCTGCAAAGGGAAGGACTGTGACACTGGCTTTCTTTCACGTTGTGCTTTACCTGCACATTCTGGGTTGTCTTCATTAAAGTTGATTGCAAAGTCATGAGAGACCTAGACACCGATTAAAATTTAAAAAACAGGAAGAAAGAAGAATTACAACTTTAATCCAGTAAGAAGGCACTGGGGTTTAGAGTTTGCAAACAAATGCCCATTATATTCATTATGTGTTAAGCAGCAGGAACCATTTCAAGCCTTTACACAATCAATATGAGATGGAGGGTGAATTCTAAGCTCCCTGTGGAGTTGAGGTGACAGGAATATTTTCTAGAATCAGATAAATGCTGTCAGGAGGGGAGAATAAGGCTTATAAAAAAATCCAAGAAAAGATTTCAGAAAGATAACTTTGAATAGCTGCTAGTTAGAACTGGCCACAGACTGGAGGCTTAGATTTGGCTGAGCTCTATTTGGACCCAGTGATTAAAACAAAAATAAAAACAAAAAAACTCAATAACCCAAGCTGTCTGCTGAAGATAGCGATGGTTATAAAAGCTTCAGCTAAGCAGTTGACACTTAAGAATCATTAACATGATATGCAGAACTACAGGGCAGGAGGATTTTCACATACCTACAGGTAAAACAGACTGCACTCTACTTTTGGAAACATAGTAAAGTAATATACTTTGTAATATTTCAACACAAATTCCTCTACCTGGCAGAACCTATGCACAAGGTCAAATAACATATTGTTTACTTTTTTCTTTCCGAAAACCTGATAAAACAAGATAGATGTTCTGGCATCTGGACATTTTTATTGAATCATTTGGTATTTTATGGAGAATTTCATTTCAAAGGATATTTCCAAGCTCTGACTCTTTTGGGTATCCATAAATTAGGTCACTGTGTTAAAAGACACCTGTTTTCTTAGTGGGAGGTGATCGGTGATGCTCTCAGTGCTTATCCTAGTCCCTTGCTCTTAGCACTTCCAGGTAAGCCAGCTGACTTCAGTCATCTTATTTGCTTTGTTTACCTTAAGTTTTTTCTTGGCCTCCAGGGCCTGCCTTGCTTGCCCAAGTGACAGGCTAAAAGTGACCCTTGGGAGTAATCAGTAATTAACAGGAGGTGATGTATACATATCCCAGCTCCCTTATCCCTTGGGGTCCATGTGTGCTGTATATTGTCTCCTAGGGTTCTTCAGCAGAGTTAAGCACCAGTTGCCAACAGCGGTAACTGACTTGATAATATACTCTGTGCTGACTTCCACTTCCCAACCTCTATTGTGGTTTCCCTCACCTTTTAAATAAACTATTTGCATCCAAACCCTTGTCTCAAGATCTGTTTCTGAGAAAGTGCTAACTAAGAAAGAGAGGTGCTTGTGTTTCAGTTTCAATGCATACTTTCAGATTTTGTCCTAAGAAGTAAATTGTGGCAACCTTGTAAACTCTCCTGGGGGCACCTGAGCTGCTCAAATCATCAGTGCTTGTCTGAGGAATGGGAGAAATTAGGGGACCCGAAATGGGGAAATGTGAGAGATGCCTATTGAAACAAGAATAACCAGGGGATTTTGCTGACAGGAAGGATGGAGTTAGGGGATCAAGTGAACAAGAGGACTTCAGAAAACAGCAAGAAAGATTAGTTACTCCAGGAAGGGAACCAAAAAGATGTCATTAGTGAGAAAAAGGTATGGTGCATAGCTCTGTCCTCAGCCCTGTTGGGCCAACCTGAGGCTGGAAGACCACCTGGTGGGGATGTGGTGAAAACTCAAGAATCCCTGGGTAGTTGGGCTGATGGCTATTGAGCTATTCAGCAGCTCTATGAAGAAAGTGGGCATTCACCTGTTTACATTCCCGATTTGAAGGGGCCTATATCTCCTCAGCTCCAGCTTATTCTTGTATCGGTCATCTTTTAATCTTAGTGTTGCCAGGCCTTTCAGGTTTTCAAGAGAAACCAGAAATCTGACATTTTATATATGCAATTGCTGAATTCGTTTTTTAAAAGTGTGTCAAATATAACATATTTGTGGCCTGAATAATGTCTATAGGCCACCAGTTGATAACTCTTGTTCTATATTCTTTCTCTCCACAAGCTGTATTTCTAATAAATGCTTCTAGAATTATGTAGCTATGCCCAGCAGAAAGGCCAGTGTGGAATACAAGGCAAGAAAGAAGGAGAACAGGTCAGGGAGACAAGCGATTCCATCCACTATTCACTCTAGGAGCAACAGGGATATTGATTTCCTCTTTCAAAAAGGATACCTAAGGGGAAAGCCCTTTATATGATGGCTCTAGTGAGGGAGCAAATGTCAGCATCTACCTCCTCACCTGTGGCTCAGACACAGCCAGTAAAAGAGAAATTGAGGATTGGGCAGTGTTGTTTGTACTTAGCTCAGACCTCAGAGGCACTGGTAAGGTGGAGGCTGGGAGAGGTACCCTGCTGTCTCTCCAAGGCCCTGTCCACCTAGTGGGCACGAGTTCTCTGTGGAGAATGTTCTACAGGAGCATCTAGAATATCACAGTAGTGTCTCAGCCTCATTACAGTGCAAATTTATCTACACACAATCTTTGCCTTTTTTCTGTCATGAGAAATCATTATCAAAACCAAATAGGATTCCAACGTCTTCAGAAGAACATTTCAGCTTCCCAATTCTCTAAGTCATAATAGTTCTTTCTTCAAAACTTCTCTGTGTCTCCCATACAAGACTTGGACTCGGAGACTTGGGATAAGAAAGTCTGTAGACTCCATTGTCACGGACTTTCCCAGTTGGCATTGCCAATAGAATTCTATTTCCTAGGGGATATACGAGTGAATAGGTTCTGAGCCCCTGGAGATCAACTTCTTGAGTGTTTTCTCAGACTCTGACCACATTTATAAGAAACTAAACAATGAAACTCTTCATCTGGACCTCTGAGAAGACCCATCCAAAATACCAGGAGATAGGGTTTCATCAAGAGACGGGCCCTGGCGAGTTAATCTCACTGATTCTGAAGACAATTTCTGACTCTGTAGGCCCTACTGACACAGTTAGGTCAGAGTCAGGAGTGTGAGACTGCTGCAAAGAAGAGCCAAGTTATCCTTTGACCACAGTGAAGTGGAAGAAGATCACATCTCCACTCACTCACCGTGTACTCTGGAGGTATCCTGGCGCCAAACCCAAAGGCAGGGAACATTTTGTCACTGAAACCAAAATGAAGAAAAGAAAAAACAAGAAGTTGCTTCATTTATTCATTTAATGAGAAAGAAAAACATTAACCTACATTACTAGGTTGCTAGGCCATGTTGCTATGCCAGTGCTGACTCATGCTTCTTGATTGTCTGTGGTGATGGGGGTAGCAATAGCATGGATAATTAAAATCAAGAAACAGCCCCTTAAGTTCATTACAGTCATTAGTCTACAACTTCCTCCCTTAATTTTTTTGCTAGATTCTATACTAAGAAATAAAATGGCCCTACCCTTTCATCAATGGCCTCCACTTCAACTTTCAACTTTGTTTCCTTTGAAAAGTGACCATGAACTAGGTAACTGTAATGGTTGACTGTGTTAGAACCTTTTGTATGTATCATCTTTTAAAATACAAGGAGAGATAGTTATTCCCCTTCTGCAGGTGGGGAAATGCCTTGAGAGGTAAAGTGACTTGCCCAAGATCATGCCACTAATTAGAGCTAGAGTTCAAATACAGATAAGACTGAATCGAAATGGATATTAAAAAGCAATGGGGCCAGGTGCAGTGGCTCACTCCTGTAATCCCAGAACTTTGGGAGGCCGAGGTGGGTAGATCACTTGAGGCCAGGAGTTCAAGACCAGTCTGGCCAACATGGAGAAACCCCATCTCTACTAAAAATACAAAAATTAGCTGGGCATGGTGGTGCACTCCTGTAATCCCAGCTACTCAGGAGGCTGAGGCATAAGAGAATTGCTTGAACCCTGGAGGTGGAGGCTGCAGTGAGCTAAGAATGCACCATTGCACTCCAGCCTGGGTAATAGACCAAGACTCTATCTCAAAAGCAAAAAACAAGCAGTGGAAAGCTTGTAAGTTTGGCTAATTTGACAGAGCTTGGTTCCCTCTACATGACTCATTGTGCCCACCACCTTATCACATACAAGCGGTGATAAGTTGTTTACATGTCTTTTCTTGTTTTTTGAACTCAAAGAGACCCTGTCTTTGGTATTAAAATCTTTATATCTCTACTGTCTTCTGCCTCAACTGCCCCCTGCCCCACCATTTATTATAGAACTTGTCATGGAATGTGTGCTCAGTAGTTAATGAGTACATAATCCATGAATTTTAATTATTAAAATGTGGCTATGAAAAGAAGGGAGGATTCTTGTGAAAACCTGAGAGAATCACTTACATATCCTTTGGTTTGAGTTATCTTATGCACACTGGAGTTTCTCTCTTAATTATGCATTCACATATATTGGATCTTAACTCTAACTTTACTGTACTATAGTTGACAGGATGGGGAAGAGAATAATTAACATTTATTGATGCATACAATGTACCAGCCCCCTGCTAGATGATGTATCTATTTATTAAATTCTCACACAATCCTGGAAGCTTCACCTACTTATTATTTCCATTTTACAGGTAAATAGAGCCTCAGAAAGGCTAAGTGGCCTATGGTGATTACCAAGGAGAATTGTGTGATTCCAAAGCCCATACCTTTCTGTTATACCATTATAATTTAATGATTATATGTAGTATTAAATGTGATTTTCTGCTAGTACTTCCAGTAATCTGGCCCCCTGCCTAGACAACAAATAAGACCCTCTTTAATCGAATAGTTGTGCTGTCGGGTGGCTGTCGCCATAGGGCTCTTGGCAAGGACGTGTCCTTCTCATGTCATCTACCTTTTATTTCTTCTCCCATTAAGAAATTAACTGAGATTTGTTCTTTGGAACAATTCCTACATTTCACTGTTCTTGGTATATTCAGTCAATTCAGGTTAGGGCTCACTGTCCTAAACATCTATAAGGAAAAAGGGATGAGCCCCACTAATCCCCAGGCTGACAGAAAAGTCAAAGTAGCAAAGCTAGATTCTCCTTTATCACCACCTGACTGATTAAGAGCTCATTACTAGCCAATGATGGTTTTGACAAAACTTTACCAAAACATAGCCAATTGTATCAAATTTGGGGTTAGGGGCTGGGAGATACAAGGAAGCTGGAATTCTTTGAAATCGAAGTCTAAATTCTCCAGAAAATCACCAACTCCCACTTCTCCTCACTGTTGGGTCAATCCAGGCTTTGTGGTGCATTGCATCTAGCAGGTATTAGATAAGGTATTAATGTGGGTAAATAGAGACTCACAACAGCTTATGAAGGATTAGCTATAGATAGGAGAAAATATACTTCTGGGTCCTTGGACATACTGAAATACTTTGCCTCAGCAATTCCTCCTTAAACAAAACAAGCATGGGTAGGTGTGAGAAGAGATCTGTGCGGGGGATTTTAGGGTACTTTCTAGTTAAGCCTGAAGTAAGGCTTTTCTGGGTGGAGGATGGATCCTGGTCCTTCACACTCGAGGATGACCCAGAAGTCAAAATAGAGAAACTGGGAGTCTCCACACCCTTATTTTCTTTTTTTGATGAGTTGAGGAGGGGTAAGCTCTAACATTCCATCCATTTCTAATCCCTATGGTGTTCTAGCGTTAATGATATTCCTTTTATACTTTCTAAGCCACTTTTGGGGATTCAATGTTTGCTGAGCATGATGCACTGCTATGTAATCGAGTTTCAAGAGTAGGAAGGTAGGGAAAATGCCTCACCTACAAGGGGAATAATTAATGAGCCAGGAGGGATAAATTCTCTGAACTTAGCCACCAGAAAGCCTCTAACTAATAAACACACTAAAGAAAAAGTTTTAAGCCTAAGCACAATGGATTTAAACATCCATTATTTCTGTTTTAAAATAAAACTAGGCAGAGAAGAGTCTTATTATGCAAGAAGTAAAAGAAAGCAAGTTGAACACAAAAGAAAGCATCTGTATACTAACGCTTTAAGAATTCAAGATTGGATCCACTCAGCACCCAGCAAAGGGCCATTTAGCAACTGCTGGGAAAATGACTGACAAAGACAGACAATCTGGAAAATTGAGGGGTATATTACCACATGGGTAAAGGCAATCTTTCTTATAACCAGAATAAAATAGTATAAAATACAATAAAAAAAAACCCTACGTGCTTCAATGGTAATGAGTAAGCTGTCCTGACCTTCTTAGGGAATGACTATTGTCAAATGACCTCCAGATGGAAGATTTATTTTTAATCACCATTTTCTCCTTTCTGTTGAAGATTTTGAGATAAATCAAAACATTAATAAACGTAAAGAAAAATTACTGTATCCATAAGGAAATGAAGCTCACAGCAATATGGCATCTCAGGGCACCTAGACATTTAATAAAAACTGTTCTCTGAAGCAGAGGTCTTAAAACTGGGGTACCTGGAAATGCAAAGCATTTCTGGGGATATGAGGACATGGCTTTTTTTTTTAAAGGGAAATCAGTATTCAGTTCCTCTACATCCATATGTGTTTTTTGCTGAAATTGATATTCTGGGAATGCCTGTGATGGAGAGACCTGTTCTCCATTCATACCTTCCCTTTCACGTATCCTTCTCTTTTACCTATTCTGAATCTTAACCATCATAGTCCATTGCTCCAGAGTGTGAAAACTCTGTAGCATCATATACAAGAAGAATAATTCTAAACATGAATGATTCACTAGGGGAAAAAATCCTTTTGCAAGTCAGGTAGTTGCCAAGTTTTGCTTTAAATAAATTTTGGCAGGTGCTGATGTCAGCTGGTAGTTCATTGAAGAAAACGTTTTGATGATTGGCCATTATGTAATTTTTTTTGGTATATAACTTAAACTTGAAAGAATTGAGTAATACTGCTAGACAAGTTATTTATTTCCATACACTTATTTATAAGAACAGGTTTTCTTAGTATTTACATTGATGATAAGAGCAAAAAACTGAGTTAGAATTGATGCTTGACTCTCCCATTCTAGTAATAGGTAGCACTCATCCACAGGTCTATAAACAAATTGGAAAAACACCCCATTATCTGTTTCAGTAAGAGCTGATTTCTGATAGGTTTTTATAGGCAAAAATTACACTGAAATTTCTAGTACATTTATGTTCTTTTGATCAATTATGCACTAGTAATAATTGTAATAAAAGCTCAGATTTTAAAAAATACTTTGAATCTTTTCATCTTAGAAATTTTTAGAAACTAAAAAGTTTTAAATTTATAATTTTATTACAGAAATATACAGTGATTATAACAGAATTTCAAACCAATTTTATTAAGATACATTAGGATAAAATTTTGGAGGGAAGAGAATGGAAATATAAGTCGATGAAAAGGAAGAAACAATTACAATTCTCAACTCACATTGAAGAGCTTGCTCATTTTTTACAAAATGGATGATGGTGGATATCAAATAGTTACGGCATTTAGATTCCACTTGACTCAGTCACAAGAGTTATGTAAGAGTTTTATTATAAAATGTCCAAACTTACAACACATTAGAATTTTCATTCTTTATCACTATATAAACTCATGATGAAAAATGTCAGATTTCAGTGAAAAAATGTGACAGCTATACATTTTAATATTTTTTTTAAAAGTACATGAGCAAAAACATTTTAAAGATCATTGGTCCAAAGTGAACTTTAGAACTGACACAATAGTTCTGTCTCCCTTTGTGTTCAGATCATTTTTGAAACATAAATCTAGGGTATTAAAGATAATCACCTCTGACATTTATTGAGTATTTATAAAGGTAGAACCTGTGTTAGCCAGCTGCTTTATATCTAATCCTTATAACTGCTCTGCAAGGGAAGCGATACATCTTCAATTTACAATGAAGAAAACCAAGGCCCATAGAATGCAAATCTTATGACAACAGAGGTAGCAGAGCTGGGGTTTGAGCCCGGGTCTAACTGTCACCAGTTCCCCATGCTCTCTCTATCATCCCTGTTGATTCTGTCCTCATAGAAGGCTTGTCTGGTCTAATGATTCAGAAAAAGGAGAACAAATCCATCCACATTCTAATAACAACAAAGCTGAAGGCCAAATTCTGATCAGCCCAGAAATTATCATCCCCAGGACTCCCTCCTTGACCACCCCTCTTCCCACAAAGGACAGAGTTAGCCCTTCCCTCTTTTATACAGTTCCCATCCCGACACAGGGCAACACTTCCCCGGCCATGCTGGGCTGTAATTTATTTACACGTGTTTCTGCCCAGTGAGATTGTGGGCTACTTGGGGAAAAATTGTGCTTCATTAATTTTTCTGTCTTTACAGCTTCCCGTGAGGTGTTTGGGGCTTAAATAGATGCTGCATAGGACCTTAGCCATTGCATCTGAGCCATCTCTCATGATTTAACACTGGGTCTCAACCCTGGATACCTAGCAGGATAAAGAATTCTAATTTCCAGGATGCACACCAGAGAGTTAAATCAGAGATTCTGGGGTGGGGTGCAGGTATCGTCACATTTTAAGGCTTTTCGAATGGCTTCAATGTACAGCCAAGGCTGAGGACCACTGACTGGTGTAGAGTGGACAAGGTAGCACGTGATTTGAACTGTCTTCTCATCACTAAGCAACTGCTCTACACTTGAAAATACCTGTCAGATTGGGTTTCAGTTCTAACTTTGTCTTCTCATACCATAACTAGTACATCATGGAGAAATGCTGCCTTGGTTTCTGATATCTGTCTCATTCTGTGATAGACACTTCCATAAAATGGCAATCCATATTTCCAGGAAATGTACACATTCAGTTTCTGTACTGTCTTGATAGCAGACAGACCATGCTTTTTATTAGAGAACATTTCAGGTTTTCAGAGACCCATATCCCTACTGGCCCCAAGGAAAAGATGTCACCTTGGCTTTGAGCAGACTAGGGAGACCAGGATACAGGAGCTGGAGAAGTGCTACAACTTGAGCTTGTGTGGGCCTGTGTGTGTGTGTGTGTGTGCGCACATACATGCGTGTGTGTTTTTGTGTGTGTGTACAAGTAGTTGTGCTGGGGTGGGTGGTCAAAGGCAGAGGAAATGAGCAGCACCATCTCTTTCAGAGGCTGAAGGACAGAACAGGCAGGCAGGCTTGAGGACAAGCTGTCTGTGGGAAGCTTTCCTTCAAGGCCATCCTGAAAAGAGTTTTATGCATCTCTCAAGCTGTTCTACCTCATGGATCACCTCATAATGACCTGGTAGCAATGACTGTACAAGGCAAAAAGAAAACTCTTGGCTGCCAGAAGCTGGGAGGAATTTCTAAGGCTCATGGGGATTAGAAACCTCTGTGTCACTGCAGGAGGGGGAACAATGCCTTCTGTCAGTTTTTATTCAAGTGTTTCATTTTGAGCCCCAACCACACTGACTTTGATGTGAGAATAAATTAATTCCAGAGCCCCGACTTGAAATTTCCTGACTCTGCCTGTCTATTGTCTATCCACCCACACAAAAGAGAAACAGCGGAACCTTGTCAGTTTTCAAGTGAGCAGCTTGCAATACACATTCTTCTAGGGAGCTTTTTAAAAGGAGCATTGGAGTTTTTCAATCCTCCTTCTTCTTCCTTAAGTATTTGCCCATTTTAATGTTGAGCTGCTTTCTTTATATGGAAAAAAGAATTGCTCCACTGAGCTGTAGAAATTTGATTTTCTTGGTCAGTTGGGGTCAATCTTACTCTATTAAAAATTTTAAAACAATCACTTATGATGATTCTTCATGTAACTCTTAAGGTTTCATATCTTATATCTTATTTTTATATTGAATCTGCATTTTTGAGGGAACAAAAAATGCTCCCCAGACTTTGTCTGGCTCACAAAGGGATAAAAGCTTTACAAGATATACATGCCACTCTGACTATAGTCTCTGCATTTTGCATGTGAGGCGATCAGGAAATGGAGACGTTCAGCAGCTTCTTCCAGATCATCCACTAAATCTGCTGCAGAACTATAATGAGGGCTCTGAGGCTTACTATCTTCATTTCTAGAAAACCCATCAGTCTTCTGTTTGTAATTTATTATGAGACTGCTTTCTTCCCCGCAGATTCAGAGTTAACTTTTTAATTAAGCATCTACTGTTTGACATTTGTGTTAAGTGCATTTACCTACTTTATCTTTTGCAAGCATTTCAAGATTGAAAACTTGAGAATCCTGAAGATACTCTCCCCCTTCTTGTCTCTCAATATGTGCACACATTATTTTACTAGATTACTAATGTGTGTATGCATCTGTGTGTGTGGTATAAAGAAGGAAGAAAATTCTTGTTTTTGTGTCTTGGGGACGTTTGGAGAAGTTTCCAATGTAGTGGATGCAATTGGCCAGTCTTTTCTCTCCCTGGTGGAAATCTTCATATGATATAAACCTCTCTAGGAACCCCCTCACCCACTGCCTGCATTGGGGCTTGAAGAAATCAGTGTTGAAATTCAAGTTATCTTCATAGTCAATACCTCAAGATTAAGTATAAGAGGTGTTTTTCCAAAAAGATAATTTAAAATAACTATTGACTTTTTTCCTGGATGTACAGGAGAGGAATTATCAGCAAGGGCCTGAGTGTTTAAAGCTCTTTGATTTTACTGGACCTGCTCATTCATTCCCCAACTGGCTTTGTACTACATTTGAGTTACTGGTGATGACCAAGCTGAATCCAGAGACACAGGCAGGCAGGAGATTGACTGCACCTTTCCCATTGCCCTGTCCTATTAGTTTCCCTGTACATTCTAGTCCTTAAAATGTGTCAGTTCCCATGGTGTGGAGGATAACAGGTTTTTAGTATGATTATCACCAATTATGACACTAGAAAGAACAGAAATCATGCTGTCTTACAAAATTCCTCTGAAACCTAAAGGATGGAGTTACTTTCTTTATTTTCCTGGTTTGAAAGGTCAATTTGTTGCTGCTCATTACTAACTAGCCTTGGTTTACAATCACACCAGGGAGTTAACTGAGATTTACACATATTTATATTTACATTGGTTTCATTTCAAAAAGCTTTCCTTATGCATGCACCTAAATTCCTTTACTTCATTCTAAAACTACTGGAAAGGCAGAATACATTCAGTTTAACGTAATTTATGCAAGATACTCCTTACAGGGAATTTTCTTGGTAGGAAAGGCCAATATTTATCATCAAGTAAGAATAAATAGAACATTGATTTGATCTTAAAATCATGTTTTCTATATACATACATGCAAACATACACATGCACCTGGCTACATACATGTGCCACACCCTCTGCTGAAGTTACCAATAGCTTTTGAGGTCAGTGAAGCATAGTGATTACAGGCTAAGCTGTGGAGTGGGTAGACCTGGGCTCAAGTCCTGCCTCTGGCTACGTGATAGTGTACAAATTACTTAACCTCCTGTACAGTATTCCCTTCTTTTAAGGAATACATACTATATAAGGGTTAATGTGAGGATCAGATGTAATAATGTCTAATAGACCTGTGCTTCTACGACTCTAAAGTATACACAAATCATCTGGGGATCTTGTTAAATGCAGATTCAAATTCAGTAGGTTAAGAATGCTGCTAGTGCATAAGCAATTTTGAGTAGCAAGGCACAGGCTAAGACTTCACAAAATGGAAACCAAAATTGCTATCCAATCGTCTTGCAAGTCAATTGAGAGAAGAAGGCTGAGAAAGGATTTGTTTGGTGACCAGCGTGAGCAAGGTACAAACTTAGTTTTTCTAGTACAGAGGGAATGAAACTTTTGAAGTCACTACATAAGGAGCTACTAGACTTAATTTCCACTTTCTGCCCAGGATCAGCCAAAGACCGTCTGAACCCACATGAGAGATGATAAGGCTCCAAATGTCCTGAAGCCTCTTACCTGTCATAGTCTTGGCAAATCTCCCCCACAGCTACCAAAGCTTTCAGATACTCATTGGGTTGGTAAGGGTGGATGTAGTGCAAGGAACAGCTGTTCCTGGGGTCCCCGTTTGAGGCAGTGAAATCTATAGCTACCTAAAAGAGAAAAATACAAGAAAAGGTAAATTTAAAGTGGATGCATCTCCTAAGAATTGTGATCAGTCATGAGAGAGACCTGGCCTCGGGTCAAAAACAGTAGCACATTACATACCCTGCCAATAAAGAAAGAGAATAAACTAATTTGCTTGAAAAACTAGTTATTAATTTGGTTGAGGCCATTTCTGCAGTCTTCAGTCTCCCTTCCCACCAGTGCACTCTCTTCTCTCTGTTTAATAGGAACTTGAGATTGACATAGATCAGAAAGCCCAGATGCTGTTGATCCATCTCACCAGGCAGCAAGAGTAAGGATAGAATATCTGCCCTCCAATTTCACAGTTCACTAAGAAAAGACTTCTACACTCCCTGGGCAGAACAATTCCATCTACGCGGCATAGGTAAGATCCCTTAAAACCAAATTCTGTGTTAAAGATACAGTCTTCATACCAAAGCCATTGTCATGTTTCCATGAGTGGCCAGATGCAGAGAGATGTGTTAGAGTGGTTATAACAAATTTTCTGGAAGGAGCAGCTCCATGTAAGGCATTCAATATTTTGGTTCTCGTTCATGTAAGAACTCCTGCCTACAACAAAGGGGATGCCTGAATGTTATCGCATTGTGAGTGGGAAGTGGAGAAGGGAAACCTGTCTTGCCACCAACTAGTCATTTATGCTTCAACTTCTCAAATTTCTTCTGACCCCCAGTATCATAATCATGTAAGTAAACGTTGAGTCACTGAACACTTCTTAATAACAAAAGAAAGAACAAAAAATGCTTAAGCCGAGGGTGTTAAAATGAGAAGAAACACTTCTTCTAATTTCCAACATCACCACCATCTAAATAAAAGTTAACCCAGCAAAAATCTCTTTAAAAATGCCACTTAAGCTTCGAGGGAAGAAGGTTAAAATAAAAGTCATACGGGAAGAAAGAAATGTTTATGTTGCATAATTCCATTTCCTTCTGGGGTAGAGTAGAATACATTCATTGGCTTACTATGCCCGAAAGGCTCTATTTTTTCATATGATCTTGGGAATCATAATGGGAAATGTTATTTGTGTTATATTTGGTAAATTTCATTACAACAAATAACTGGAATGCACCATTGGTTCTAGGAAGGTGCAACATTATTTCTGAAAGGGTAGAGAACACATGCCACGTGTGTGTTTGTGTTTCTTAAGGTATAAGTTGATGGGGAAAAAAATGTTAGTCACATCTGATATTGTACCCTGCAATCAAATCAAAGTGACTAGGAAAGAAAAGCAATAGGCTAACATTAATTCATTTATAGGCTTTTTTCTTTTCTTTCATGAAATTACGTGTTCATCTGTGTTATGTTTTTCTTTTTCTTCCTTGCCTCTCCAAAGAACTACGTCAAAAATAAACTTAGGATTCAAACTCTGTTTTCAGAATACCCAGATTTCTTAAAATCAGGGGATGCCTACTGATAAATGCTAGTACTAAGAGTATGTAAAAAAAAAAAAAAAAAGGTTATCTGAAGAAAAATTGCAGTTCTTCCCTGAACCTTAGATTCCCTTACTTTGGATAACAAAGGAAAGAAGAGAGAAATAATCTCTGTGTCAGGCACTGTGCTAACTGTGTGTGACACAGAGGGCATGATATTACTTCATTTATATGCATGATATTACTCCATTTTCATGTGACATAGGGTAACAGGGCTTGGAGTTGGGTTTAAATCCAAGTCTATATGGTTCCTTTCTACCTTTTTCCATTACGCCATCATACATCCAGGAGAACATGTATGTCTATGACCAAAACACCAGGACTTCTCATGGGTATAATTATTCCAATATAAAATGCAGGAGATTTGGCCTGGAGGTAGGGAGACTTGCTAGGAGGCAACCATGGCAATTTGGGGAAGAATTGCCTGGAATAAACTCTTCGTGACCAAAATGGGTGTAAAACTTAAGAAAAGGAAAACTGAAATGTGTGTGTATGTATGTTTGCACACACAATAGTGAGATGATTGTTACTGAGGATGAGTGGAGGTAACCTAGGGAGACCAATAAAGTCCAGTGTCTTCTGGGACAGGTTTATCCTGAAGGTGAGAGCCAACCCACCAGGAAAAAAAAAAAAAAGTAAGACCATAGGTGAGGCCCTTTTAATCAAGGACTACGATGAAAAGCTGGTGGGAGAGAGGAACCTACATGCATTTTCTGAACAAGAAGGAGGTGAAGAGCACCTCAGGATCCACCAATGAGGCCTCAACAAGATAGAGATCCAAACTCATGCAGATAATTCCAGGAAAATTTCTGAGAGGAGCACTCCAGAGATGTTTGAGAGACAATGTTTGAGAAAATCATATCTTTGGGGCCCTCCTGGGTTTACCAAGCTCAACTCACAGACACCATTCTCAGCCTTTTACTCCTAATGGGACATGTTTAAGGGATAATGGCACCTTGCACAGGTGTACATAGTGTTTAAAAGGTAAAAGTAATGCTGGGAAGGCCAGATGTAAAGCCACCCCTTTCTCTTCCACTGAGGAAAGCATGTTAGTACTCCAGGGAATTCTAGAGAGCGTGAAGATGTTGTTATGGAGATTACCTTGATTCTGCTTTAATTTATCTAAAAAGTGAATCATTGGCAGGTGTTGCTACTTTATTATTAATAACAAACACCTTGTGGCCCACCTCACTTCTATTCATGATGCCTTCCATCATGGGTCACCACCTCCTTACCTCTGAAGGCATCATGCTTCTGCCTCTTGATACTAAAGCTAACAATCTGTCCCATGTGCTGGTTGTCTGACTGAAACTCCTGAAGTGTTAAGGGTGTTCTGTGATGACAAAAACATGCTGGTGTCTTGATATAAAACTAGACAATGCAATCGGGTTATATAGGCCAGAGGAAAAAAATCCATAAAGAAAAATGGCTGCTCAAGAAACATTCCTAGGCATTGGCAAAATTCTCCTAGCATGCAGGCACCTAGTGGCAGCATCTGAGCCAGAGTATATCACCTGGATGAATATGTTATATCTAGATAAGTGTGTGTAATGTCTGGACAAGCATACATAGATTGTGGCAACAATATATTTTAAAATAATAGAAAAAAACATATCAGAGCTGGAGATGGGGTGAGGCAAAAAGAAGTGCCTAGTTTGTAAAACCCAAGGAGGCACTCACTCTCAGCAGACCCTATACTTGCAAAATCCGCAGAGTGAGAGTCTCCTTAAATTTTGCACCCCAGGTACGTCTCTTGCTTTACCTCCAATACTGACCCTACTATGTCATTTTCATTCCTATCAACTCTTCATTGTCAGGCTTGGAATAATTTTCTTATGCTTAACTAGGGTGGGGCAAAGATGATGGTGAGAAGGAAAGAGTGATTGAAGAAAGTAAGGATAGAAAATGAATAGGATTTTGTGACCACTTGAATGCAGAGTTGGATGTCAGTTAGGGAAAGGGAATGGCCAGGTTTTGAGGGGACAGAAGAGAATAATATATTTTGAAGATAATGAAACAAGGTACAGGCTAATGCTAGAAGGTTAGTATTGGGCTGCCTGTTCTTGGTGCTACTATTTAAACATTCAAACATGCCTGGTGGAAATTTTACTATTATTTCTTTTCAGTCAGGCCTCTAGGGTTTCCACTTTTCCCATGGCAATGGCCCCTACGTCTATGACAACGAGAGAGGCCACTTCATCTCAGGAGATTCTCATATCGACCTAGGGGAGGGTATGAACTTAAAAATTAACTGATGAAAAAGGAAATAGGCTTATGATTCTTACCATATAGCCCATTTTATAGTTCTCATGGTTTAATAAAAAAATTTTATCATGTGACTAGACAGCAATGGACAGTCTTAAGTAAGAGTCAGCTAAAATATTTTCATTTTTATTTTCTGGAAAGTAGTGGTTCCTAAAACCTCATTTATGAAGCTGGAGATAAAATATCTATCTTCAGGGGGTGGTCTTCCACCAAGAATTCTCTGTGCTCTTTAAAGTTAGCATTAGTAGAAAGAGAGCAGAGTGAAAGGTTAGGTTTATTTTAGAAAGCAACAGGGAGGCAGTGAAAGATGGGATTAAGTTGAGAAATAAAAGCAAGAAAATGACTGAAAAATGTCAGTGTGTGGAGGTGGCTACTGATGCCTGGTTTTCTGAATACCGGTGAGCTCGCAGAGCCACCACGTTTTCATTTCCTGATAGGAAGCATTTATGGAAACCTGTGGTTCTGGTATGTGCTCCAATCTTCTCTGCAGGCAGCACAAGAACAGGTGCCCAGTGCTTTTTCCTTCTGCCCAGGAAGCCACTGCTCATTATTAAGCAGAGCTGTGGAGCAGCTTTGCAAACCTTGTAAAGTAAGAATGCAAAATGCCCCCTCCATGACACCAAGTCCCCAGTGTGTGGAGCTGTTCCTGGGAAAAGGCTGGTTGCAAATGATGAGCATCTTTCTTTGGGCATTTTTAGATTCTTACATGAAACAACCCCACTCCTCAGATCCCTTCCCTTCATCTGCCAAACAGGTCATTTGTGAACCTTCTCGACGTTTTCTAAGGGAAGCTGCTGTGTAACAACCTCTGGTTAGTTGTACCTGCAGTCTACCTTTGGGACCACATTCTTGGGGAGCTTTCTTTCTTTTCTTTTTAAATAGCTGTGTACAATTTGGACCTATACAATGAACCTTGTAGGTGAACATACTGTTTGGTCTGGACCATTTCTTAAATAATGTTACATTTTTATTCTTTTCTATTTTCAGAAAACTTTCTAAGAGGGCAGTTAAATAGGAAAGTAGGGAAAGTCACCTAAACTTACTTGGTTCATTTTCTGGAAATGGCAAAGCATTTGCCTCTTTAACCCATTGTACCCTGGCTTTGCATAGGAATTCAGTAAGCAGGGCTCACTAAGCAGTAAGCAGACTCGAAGGTCTACACCAGAGTAGATCAGTGTTCAATCTGGGATGTAAAATAAAGATTTAAAAATGTAAACTGGGCCACAGTGTGGACATAGGATGCCCTAAATGTTTTAGGGTTAGAAAAGATTTCCTGAGACTGGGTGCGGTGGCTCACACTTATAATCCCAGTGCTTTGGGAGGCTGAGATGAAAGTATAACTTGAGGCCAGGAGTTTGAGACCAGCTTGGGCAACACAGCTGGACCCTGTCTCTACAAAAATTTGTTTTAAAAAGTAGCCAGTGTGGTAGCATATGGTTGTAGTCCCAGCTACTCAGGAGGCTGAGGCAAGAGCATCACTTGAGCTCAGGAGTTTAAGGTTACAGTGAGCTTCCAGTGTGCTACTGCACTGCACTCCGGGAAACAGAGTGAGACCCTGTTTCAAAAAACAAAAAAAACAAAAAAAAACAAAAAAAAAAAGAAGAAAGGAAGAAAGAAAGAAAGAGAGAAAGAAAGAAAGAAAAAGATTTCCTGAGAGAACCTTTAATGAGTGATCTAAATTTTTAGGTTTGAAGGTCAGTCTGGGAGAAGTTGCATTCAGCAGCTTATTATATTACTAAAATATAAACTATAGTCAGAGGTAAGAGAAAGCAATATTATCTTCAATTTTTAAAAATGACACAAAAGAAATGTCCGTTTAAAATTAATAAGAAAAAAATATCACTCGCCATGCCACTAGGCTGGTAAGTCATATTTTATTTTTCTTTCCTCTCTAGGTATTTTATATATATATAGTTGTAATCATAGAGTAACTCTGCTTTACGTTTTTGTAACACTATGTCATAAACATGACCTCATGTTATTATCTAAACCTTAGAATTATAATTTAAATAGGCTTTATCATAGTCAATACTAAATAACTAAATACTATGATAATAAATATCATAGTATTTAAAGGAATACTGTAATTCATGTAGCCATTACCTTATTGTTAGACATTTAGGTTGCTGACAGAGTGCCTGTGTAAAAATCTGTGTTACAATGAACATTTTTGAGCATATGAAAAAGCAATAACCTTCAAAAAAACCTTTGATTTTTCTACCATTTTCTCTTTTTATTTATTTATTTATTTATTTATTTTTTTAAAATTTTTTATTATACTCTAAGTTTTAGGGTACATGTGCACATTGTGCAGGTTAGTTACATATGTATACATGTGCCATGCTGGTGCGCTGCACCCACTAACGTGTCATCTAGCATTAGGTATATCTCCCCCATTTTTTCTTTTCAAATACTGTACGGCATCTGTCTATTTTGTGTTATCTATAACTTTGTATTTTGTGTGTGAAATTCTAGTATCTGGTTTTATTTTTAGCTGCTCTACCATGTGCCAAACCCAATCTCTCACCCTGTGGTCTGTTTCACCTCCACCCACCTCCTCAAAGACTGCAATACTAGTTGCTCTAGAGTTCTTATGACTTAAGGATTCATGTGAGGTACAAGGACTGTCTTCAGGAGTGCCCTTGACCTCCCAAAATTGCATGCAAAACTGGATGTGTGCACTTCCCAGTAAGAGGCTATAGATCATGTATCAAATTCTCAAGTGTTCAGGTGACCAAAAAAGAATAAGAATCATTGACTGTCTAGGGCTCTTTTTAGCATCATTTATCTCTT
Source organism: Homo sapiens (assembly GCF_000001405.40). Lineage (NCBI taxonomy): Eukaryota > Metazoa > Chordata > Mammalia > Primates > Hominidae > Homo > Homo sapiens. Next base: position 131,570,869 of record NC_000003.12, read on the forward strand.
TCCTTCCACTGGGCTGTTACCTCTGCTTATAGTCTGATTCTAGCTTAAAATCTCTTCTCTTTTAATCTTTAAATTGCCATCCTCCTTGTACCTCTTGCCTTCCCTTCACTGTTAACTTCTTGAATGAATACTTACACCTGCTGTGTTCACTTCTTTACCTTCTGTTTACACTCTAACTCCTGGGTCTCACCTATCTCGTTATGCTGAAGTTGCTCTTTTGAAGATGATATACACCTACCTACTCATCATGTTGTTCTTCACCCTCTGACTTCTCTTTAGCATGCAAGATTGTTGCCCTTGATCTTAACCTTAGCTTTTTCCTCCTGGGCATCTGAGTTACTGCCTCCCCTTGGGCCTTCTTCTCCTCTGGCATTTCTTCTCTTAACTCTTTGCCCCTCTTTCCTCTGCTGCCAGATAGAGGTCCTCTACAATTCCTTGTCATCAGGCCCCTTTTCCTTCTATATTTTTCTCTTGGGACATCTCATCCAAAGCCACATACATGTAGCTCCTGACTCTCCCCTGAAACCTAGGTCCATATTTATAAGTACCATCTCCACTGGGATACCTGAAAGTACCTCTGACGTGTCCAAAGCCAAATTCATCATCTTGCCTACAGCTGCTGTTGCCTCGCGTATTTCCCTGACCAGGTCCACTATGCTCTGTCAGTCAGGCACAAAAGCTTTGATTGCTTTCAGTCTTCTCATTGTATTCTAGGCAGAGGCTTAGTGCTTCTCTTTCCACAGTACCTCTCCTGCTGCTGCCACCCTTGTTTAGCTTCTTTTTACCTGGTACCAGGCCTGTGGCAGTGGGCTTCCATCTCTGCTTGCTTCATCTCTCGTTCCCCCATCACCACCATCAAACACCCAGGTTTACTTGTCGAAAGCATGTGCCTGTTGCTTCAAGGCCCTCGTCAATATCCTTTGGAACATGCATTATCCACCAAATTACCTCAAAATTCAAAGCCCTTCAAGTTCTGACCCCAAACTGCTTCCCCAATACTCCCCTAAATACATCCTGTTTATTCATTTTCCTAATTAAGGTTTTAGTATTTATAATTAGAATATAGTGGTACATAAATACTTAAGTTTATGGGGGATGCTTTTTAAAGCAAAACCCCAATATCATGTTTATTTATCCAATTTGTTCTTTTTTCTAAATCTAACCTCCCTTTGAAGGTTTAGGGTTCAATTATTACAATTCAGCAAAAGTATTTTGAGCAGCTTAGCAGCTGAGGAGAAAGATGCCCCCATCTTTAACACTCTTAAGATTGAACCAGAAGCACCAGCATCTATGGAAGATACAAAGGCTTTCTCCTAGCCCCTGCTTATATTTTGTATTGGTCAGAGCCACTACAGGAAACAAAAAGTCCACTCAAAAGGTGATTGAGGAAGTTTAATAAAGGGACAATTCACAAACATGTGGAAAAGGTTAATGGAAACTGACCAGAAAGAGTGGGAGGGAGCAGTTACTAGAATTCAGTAAGAGGAGTATCTTCAGGACAGGGCACCTGACAGGAACTGTGACCTTCTGTCAGGAAGAAGGTCGCTGCCCAACCACAGCCTAGCAGGCAGGCAGCTAGAGAAATAAATATTTCAAGTTCTCTCGCCTCCTATTCTTTGATCTCTGATGGCTGCCTCTCGTTGGTCAAATCCAACCAAAAGCTAAGAGCTGGAGAGCTTGGGTGGTGCATCCAAGGAGGCTTGCTTCCTGGGGCACAGAAGGGAGAGTGGAGAAGGATGGAAAGTGGCTCTAGGGGAGGAAATGGAGAACATCCAGAACTTTATGTCACCTCTGGTGCTTGAAGGCCTTTCTCCAGGGAGACAAAAAGTTTGTGTTGGCTAAAGCTCCCTGGTTGCTCAGGAGCCAAGGGTCACATAATGTGCCAATGGGGGTTTTTGCCTCTGAAAGCCTCTGAGGTATAATTACTGCAATGAAACATCCCTTTTCTCTCTCTCCTCTGCCCACCTCCATGCCAGGAAACCTTCCTCTCTTCACTTCTCATCTCTCTGCCACTTCCTTTTCATGTTGCCAGATGGTTTCAGTAAAATAACCAGGCAGATAATAAACACTTACAGACCAAATTAAATAAGACACGATACTTTTTCTTAACGATTTGCATTACAGCTTATAATTTAAATTAAGTTGCACCACTTGAGCAATAAAACATTTAGAATGAGAAAGCTGACTTCATTTTGGAAGAAAATGACATAGAAGTGACTGGTATGTTTCCTTTAGTAGAACACTGGGAATAGAATACCTAGCAATTCTCTTCTGAGTCCCCAACCTGAAACCCTACAGGAGGAAGGGCTGTGGGGAGGAACTATTGTTGGCTGCCCCCTTCTCCTCAGCATTCATCTGTACATTCTCCTCTTCTCATTCCTTGCTCCAGACTGCTCTCCTCACTCACACCTCCCACAGGTCTATCAGTTGACACTGGAGGGCATGGGGAGCTGCAACTGGGGTGTTGTTGGTGACAAACACTGAAGTGGTACTCTCAGTGGGGGAAGGTCAGCAGACTGAGAAAGGAGGGGAGAACAATGCAGGGCACAGGGATATCTGAAAGTCAGGATGTGGAGCTGGGAACACTTTAGGTTGGGGTTCAGCACCTAATTTTTGTTGGGGCTGATTCTTTGCAGCACAATTTGAAGGGCAGAGCAAGCCCCTGAAGGTTGAATACAGAGTTGTTCAAGAGCATGGGATCTACAAAATCTAAACCAGACTGAAATCAATAGAGCTTTCCCTTGAAAAGCTATAAATAGTTTCCTGAAATCACGTTTTTGCCTAAGATCTTGGGAAACTATTTCCAGTAGCTCTCCTTTATGACATTGCTTGCTTCCATACTTCCATATGGGTATGCTCAGAGCAGCAATGAGCCCACAGGACAGCTAGAGTTAGATGTGTATCCTCAGCGAACATGCTTGCTACCTTCTGTATGTGACAGTGTGAATGTAGGAAGGCTTGCTGGCTGTGCATTAGAGAATCTTAGACTTTAAAGAGGAGACCAAACTCTAAAATTTGCTCCTGTAAGCGTTCAGAAATAAATGCACAATACCCCAAGTTTAGGAAGGACATAGGTATACCTCCCTGAGATTAGGGCAGAGGATACTTCCCTAGCTAAGGAGAAGCTAGTTTAGTAAATGACCATTTATCTCATCCTTTGAGACTCCTTTTAGTCCTTTGAGCACCATCTTCCTTGGTTCCAGGAATATATAGGTCCCGTCTACTCTCTTGGGCCCAAAGCTTGACTAAAAATTTAAACCCATTTTATTTCCTTTTTTCAAATGACTGAGCCAGTCAGGGAGCTGAACAGGGCTGAGCTTCGTTAGTACATTTCTGTAAGATGAGAAATAAATGCTGTACAAGTTACATCTCTCTTGTTTACGTCCACATTGCTTTCCAAAGGGTTCTAGCACATCTGTCTTTTGCCATCTGGGGATTCTTTTTCTGGAAGTCACATCTGACCAAACCTAGGAGAATTTTGAATATTAAGTCAGTGAAAGTCAGTTGTTCCAGTGCAGATGGACTTACAACCTTGACCTACCTAGGCACTTTAAAAAGACTCAGCCTACCCAGTCAAATATACATCAGGGGTGTGTAAATCCCAAGGGCACACAAATTACATACAGGGGATGATCCTTGATCCATTCACTGAGTCTAGACACCCACTCTACTTCTCAACCTTGACCTCGGCCTGGTTCTCCAATCTTTGGAATTCATCTTTTCATTGCCTAATGAACTGTTTGTATGGCTTACTCTTGGTCCCGACTACTGGGTATGACATTGGTGCTGTGGTCTAGTCACATGAACACAACCATGGCATCTGCCTTGGCTCAGTGGAACTTACTTGCTTGGCTTACTTCCTTTCAATTTTTCTCACCAGGTGATGGAATCTGACAGGCTACTCTGCTTCATGCCTCACATAGTTACTGAAGAAATGGGAAGCGTTAGGAGGATTTCCTAGACCACCTGAGGTTGAGTGGCATAAATTTCCTGATATGATGCTGAAAACTATACTTATTAAAGAAAACAGAAGTGTGAACACATTTCAAAAACACGATACCATACGCTTCAACAATGAGACTTGAACAAAGCTGCCTGAAGGTTTTAATAAGCTTTTGTCTCTTTATCCCCCAAACCCAGTGCCACCCCTCATCTCTTGATTCCTGAATAAGAATCAAGGAATCAACATGAAAACAACTTACTGTAAACTGGATTTGGCAGCCACCCATGATGTAGTCCAAGAAAGAATGCATCTTGTGAATCTGCATAGGAGGGGAGAGGAAACTGGGTTAATAACAGCACAGTCTATTTCCTGATATATTGGAGGCCTAAAGGTTGGTGACTGATAAGCTGCTAAACCAGAGGAAAGGGCAGACAGACATCATTGAAAAAAGATGGGTCAGTTAAGTTTGTTCTGTTAAAGGAGAGAAGGAAAGCAATATTAATACAGATGGGCCTATGAATGCTGCCAATATCCATCCATTGCTCCCCTCTATTATGGTTTATGCAAATTTTAATCAGCTTATGCCTCTGAAGTGAGACTAAAACTATATTTTCAAGTGTCACTACTGTTTTGAAATCAATGATGTCTCACACTTGACTTCAGTCTTGCCTCCCTGTGTCTAAGTCCCAGTCCTGGTGACATTCTTAATATGCAGGTAATTTAGATAGGCAGTTTTAAAATACCATTGGCTGAGAAGGTAATTTACTGACAATTTCCAGTTAGTTAAATGCTTCCCCTGCCATGAACAACAATGACTAACATTTATTGGGCATTACTGAATGACAGGTACTTAACATCTTTTACCTCATTTAATTCTCAGAACAATCCTATGAAGGTGGCACAACTATTATTATTGTACCCTGTTTATAGATGAGGAAATTAAGGTCAAGATCACAATGCTAATAAATGGTAGAGTTGAGACTCAAATGATGCAAGTCTGGGTTACATACTCTGTCCTTTTGACCTCTACTCTGGAAGTCAGTATGGTTGTTGCGTTATGCCAACTGCCATCATGTGTTCTCAAGTACCTTAGGGATTTCTGGTCTTAATTTACATTTCTTTGTGATTTTGCTGCTTGGCTTGGCTCTTGGTGATATTCATGTATTCGTTTATTCAACAATTATTTATTGAATACTCACTATGCACTAGATTCTAGGACTACAGTGATTAGAAAAACACATACAGTACTTACAGTCTGGATCCTTCTACCTGGACAGCCAGTAACTGTAATTTTTGACTGTCACTTCTCAGATTCCATCTAATGCTCAGGAAGCTTCTTAGAGAGACCCAAAAAATCAGTGTTGGTCTCTCTAGATACCACCTCCAGGTGGCACACATCTATTGGCATACTTTTCTTAGAATTGATGTTCACTTGGCCTCTAAATAGTGCTTACTTTTGGTGTCCTGATGGTAATGCTTTGCCTGATAGTTGGGACACTGTGCTACTGTGTCTGCATATCAAAGAAATAAGAACTTGAAAGTGAGCAAAATAACAGTGCTTCTGAGCACTGAACTCTAAGAGCAACTCATGGAAGAAAAAAAAAATTGTGTGTACACAGTCACCTTAAGGAGAAAGATAACCATTGAATCTAGATCTTTTCTCCTGCTTCTTTGAGCACAAGGATAGTCACATAACTGTTTAGAATGTACCCAGGATTTGATTTGTACAGTTATGATAAGATGCCTGACATGGAGACAGATGTCTGTATCTGTAAGAAGAGTTTATTGCTCACAGTTCTTCAAAGGATAGGAGGCATGTTATGCCACAAAGGAAGGTCACATGGGGAAGCACCAGGATAGGTCAGGAAGCAAAAGCAATGAAGGGAAAGCATGGGCAAACCATTTACTGTGTGTTTTTTTTTCATAGGCAGGAGTGGGCAAGGCAGGGTAAGCAGCTAAGCAGGCCTAGGATTGGATAGTTTGAACGATTTCAGCAGGTTTTGAAATCTATCAAAACCATGTGAGTGGTTTCTAGTTATGTGAGACCTGACCCTAGGGGCATATAAGGTGGGAGAACATTGGCTTGGTGTGTGAGAGTTTGGTAAGGGAGGTGATTGGGGGTTTGAACTAAAAAATGATTGGTTTGTATATCAAAGGCATGCTAAAAGGCAGGTTGTTTGCTGTCTATAGGAATTAGCTAACACTGGGAGAGTAGTCCCTCTTAGGTTCATAAGGCCCAAAGTTGTCAAAGCATCAAAAAATATTGAAAAAAAAAGATTAATACAATGGCCAGTCATAAGACATTATCCCCTAGTCCCAGCAATTGGTGTAAAGGGTAGGGATATGACCCAAAGCAGACCAATTACTCTTTTCCTTCACTATCTTGTTATGTAAGGATATGGTCCTGTATATATACATATTAGGTTCCTTCTAATATGTTAGGAAACATATATCTATGTATGTATACACACACATAAACACACACATACACACACGTATACATATATACAATCATGTGTCATTTAATGATGGAAATACATTCTGAGAAATACACTGTTAGGTGATTTTATCATTGCGTGAACATCATAGAGTATACTTACACAAACCTAGGTGGTATATCCCACTATACACCTAGGCTATGTGGTATAGCCTATTGTTCCTAGGCCACAAGCCTGTACATCATGTTATTGTACTGAATATTGTAAGCAACTGTAACACAACTGTAAGTCTTTGTGTATCTAAACATATCTAAACATAAAAAGGCACAGTAAAAATATGGTATAAAATATAATAAATGGCACACCTGTATAGAGAAGTTACCATGAATGGAGCCTGCAGGACTAGAAGTTGCTCTGAGTGAGTCAGTGAGTGAGAGGTGAGTGAATGTGAAGGCCTAGACTATTACTATACACTGCTGTAGACCTTATAAACACTTAAGCTACACTGAATTTGTTTAAAAAATAAAGTAATTGCATTACAATGGCTATGAGTCACTAGGTGATAGGAATTTTTCACCTCCATTATAATCTTATGGGAGTACTGTCATATCGGTGGTCCATCATTGACAAAATGTTATTATGCAGAGCATGACTGTATATATACATAAATACATGTATATACAACTGCTCCTGGACTTACAGTGGGGTTACATGCTAATAAGCCCTTCATAAGTTCAAAAAATTATAAGTTGAGTCATCGTAAATTGGGGACCATCTGGGTGTGTGTATACACACACACACATATATGTATAGGTGTATCTTCTTTTATTGTACCTCACTTTATTGAGCTTTATATTTTTTACAGATTGAAGGTTTCTGACAACATTGCATTGAGCAATACTATTGGTGCCATTTTCCCAACAGTATGTGCTCGCTTTGTGTCTGTCACATTTTGGTAATTGTAATATTTCCAACTTTTTCATTATTATTGTATCTATTATGGTGATCTGTGATCAGTTATCTTTGATGTTACTGTTGTAATTATTTTGGGGTGCTATGAACCAAGCCCACATAAGATGGTGAACTTAATTGATAAGTGTTGTGTGTGTTCTCACTGCTCCACCAACTGGCCATTCCTTCATGTCTCTCCCTCTCCTTGGGTCTCCCTATCCCCTGAGACACTACTCTATTGAAATGAGGCCAGTTAATAACCCTACAATGGCCTCTAAGTGTTCAAGTGAAAGGAAGAGTCATGCATCTCTTACTTAAAATTAAAAGCTAGAAATGATTAAACTTAGTGAGGAAGGCATGTCAGTAGCTGAGGTAGGCCAAAAGTTAGGCCTCTTGCACCAAACAGCCAAGTTGTGAATGCAAAGTAAAAGTTCTTGAAATTAAAACAGTGAATATACAAATGATAAGGAAGTGAAATAGGCTTACTGCTTATGTGAAGGAAGTTTTAGTGGTTTAGATAAAAGATCAAACCAGATACAACATTCCCTTAAGCTAAAACCTAATCTAGAGCAAAGCCCTAACTCACTTCAATTCTATGAAGGCTGAGAGAGGTGAGGAAGATGCAGAAGAAAAGTTTGAAGCTAGCAGAGGAGGTTGGTTCATGAGGTTTAAGGAAAGAAACTGTCTCTGTAACATAAAAGTGTAAGGTAAAGCAGCAAATGCTGATGGAAAAGCTGCCACAATTTATCCAGAAGATCCAGCTAAAATCATTTGAGGAAGGTTACTACACTAAACAACGGATTTTCATTGTAGAACAAGGAAGAAGAAGATGCCATCAGGACTTTCCTGGCTAGAGAGAAGAAGTCACTGCCTGGCTTCAAATCTTCAAAGGGCAGGCTTACTTTCTTATTAGGGGCCATTGCAGCTGGTGACTTTAAGTGGAAGCCAATGTTCATTTACCATTTCAAAAATTCTAGCACTCTTAACAATTATGCTATATCTACTCTGCCCATGCTCTACAAATGGAAGAGCAAAGCCTGGATGGCATCACATCTGTTTACAGCATGATTTACTGAATATTTTGAGTCTACTCAGAAAAAAAGATTCCTTTCAAAATGTTACAGTTCATTGACAATAGACCTAGTCACCCAAAAGCTCTGATGGAGATGTGCAAGGGGTTTTATCGTTGTTTTCATGACTGCTAACACAATATCCTATTCTGCACCCCATGAATCTAGGGGTAATTTCAACTTTCAAGTCTTCTTATTTAAGAAATACATTTCATAAGGTTATAACTATCATTACGGTAGTTTTTCTGATAGATCTCAGAAAAGTAAATTGAAAACTTTCTGGAAAAGATTCATGATTCTAGATGCCATTAAGAACATTCATGAGTCATGGGAGGAGGTTGAAATATCAACACTAATAGGAGTTTGGAAGAAGTAGATTTTAACCCTCTAGGATGACCTTGAGGAGTTCAAAACTTCACTGGTGGGACAAACTGGAGATGTGGTAGAAATAGCAAGGGAACCGGAATTATAAGTGGAGCCTGAAGATGTGGCTGAATTGCCACAACTGATAAAACTTGAATGGATGAGGAGTTAATTCTCATGGATAAACAAAGAAAGTGGTTTCTTGAATCTGCTCCTGGTGAAGATGCTGTGAACACTGTTGAAATGACAAGAAATAATTTAGAATATTCCCTAAATTTAGTTGATAAAGCAGAGGCAGGGTGTGAGAGGATTAACTCCATTTTTGAAAGAAGTTCTGCCATGGGCAAAATGCTATCAGACAGCATCACATGCTACAGAGAAATCTTTCATTAAAGGAGGAGTCAATTAATGAGAAACTTCATTGTTGTCTTATTTTTAAAAGTTACCTCAGCCACCCCAACTTTCAGCAATTACCACCATGATCAGTCAGCAACCATCAATATCCAGATAAGGTCCTCCACCAGCAAAAAGATTATGACTTACTCAAGGCTCATATGACTGTTGCATTTTTTAGCAATAAGGTATTTTTAAATTAAAGTACGTACATTTTTAGACATAATGCTATTGTATACTTAATAGACTACAGTATAGTGTAAACATAACTTTTATATGCACTGGGAAATGAAAGAATGTGTATGACTTGCTTTATTGCATTGGTTTGGAATAGAACCCAAAATATCCCTGACATTGGCCTCTATACATATACATATACATATACATATACATATACATATACATATACATATACATATACATATACATATACACATATATGTATGCCTGTATACACACACACACGCACACACACACACAACATGCACACACAACAATCATCTGGATAGCAATTGAGTCCTGTATGGAGGAGTCAGAGACACGTGGGTTAAAATCTCAGCTCTTAAATTTACTACTTGTGTGACTCTGAGCTAGGTACATAACCTCAATTGAAAGTAGACATCTCAGGGTTGTGGTAAGAATTAAACAGAGTTTATTATAGTTATTTTTGCATAGTAAGTACTCAACTAGTGTCAGCATCACTCCCAGATTTGAGTTAAGAAGTTTAATTATTAGCACATGTGATTCTCTGCAAAGTTGTAGCCCCTCTGGAAGGAATTCGTAAGCCCTTTAATCTTTGCCTGTTGTCTTGTTTTTATGGTACGCTTTCAGTATGAATAAGGTACCACATATAAAACACTGGACAGGCTGGGCACGGTGGGTCATGCCTGTAATCCCAGCACTTTGGGAGGCTGAGGCAGGCGGATCATGAGGTCAGGAGATCAAGACCATCCTGGCTAACATGGTGAAACCCCATCTCTACTAAAAATAGAAAAAATTAGCTGGGCGTGGTGGCGGGCACCTGTAGTCCCAGCTAGTTGGGAGGCTGAGGCAGAAGAATCACTTGAACCTGGGTGGCAGAGGTTGCAGTGAGCCGATATCGCACCACTGCACTCCAGCCTGGGTGACAGAGCAAAACTCTGTCCCAAAACAAAGCAAACAAACAAAACCAAAACCAAACCAAACCAAACAAAACAACCACTGGACACCGTGAAGGGCACATAGTAGGTGTTCTAGAAATGTTGGCTTCCCCATTTGGAGATCTCCCTCTAGCACTGCTCTGGGCAGAGATGATCCTAACCTATCAGCGGAACTCTCCTGTCTTTGGGGCAGGACTGTCCCTGGGGAGAGGACAGTGACACTGCGCTGCCACAGCTCCATGACCACCCATGCTTACATTTCTCATTTTATGTTCTTTAATACATGACTTTTTAATTTTTATTTTAAAAGATCACATCTTTTTGATACTCTTTTCCTCTGACCACACCACCTGAACTCTTCCTCTCAGATAGCCCTAGCTTCATACTCCTGGAAGAGAGGGTTGTGTACATACCTTGCACAGATTCAGAATCACAGTGCCTGAGTTCTTGTAATTCTTCTTCTTGGCTTTGTACTTGGGATTGATGCACTCCCACTGCACCTGAAAGAAGGGTCATAGCATGAGAATCTGTTCAGGAAAAAGCTGAGTCTTTCAATAAGGCCAAGCTCCTAGGTGCTGCTGAGGACAAACTGAACTGGAGGGCTGACAAATAGTCTCTAGGTGGTAACTCTTGCATCTAGAGGAGCAATAGGGGGAGTGGTTGAGAGTGATACTCACTGTCAGACTTCTAGGTTTGAACCCCAGCAACTCCGCTTCCCTGCTTATGTGACTTTTGGCAAGTTACTTGATTGCTCTATGTCTTGAATGTCTTCTCTGCAAAATGGAGCTTATAATTATACTCTATCTCATAGGATTATTGTGAAGACTGATTAATCCTTGTAATAAATTTAGAACAGGGCCTGGCACATGTCAATGCTTACTATTAATATGGTCAAATAAAGCAGTACAGGGAAGAAGAAATCTGCAGGAACACAGTTGAGTGATGACCAAGTACTAAGGCTTACTGCCTGAGAATTGACTCAAAAGGTTAGGAATAGTGAATGCTGGCTAGAGAAATTTACTAGGGACAATAATAAATTAACATAGAACTTCATGGAGAACTAAAATAATGGATTGGCTTATGTCCCAAAAGTGACACAGTAGATCTCCAAAGGGGCCTTTTTGAAGGATAAGATCAGAGCTACAGGAGTGGCTGGGAATTAAGGAGTCAGCTGGGAACTAAGGGGAATAGGTCTCCAGCCTACAGAAGATTTAATGGGACAAAACCAATTGTGAATCAAATATCCAAGAGTTGTTGAATGTTCCTGCCCACCAACCTATGAAAGCTGAATCTCTGGATTTCTACTCAAGAGACAAAATTTCACTACCTGAGAATTAGAAGTGTCTGAAAATGAAGTAGTTTCTGAGGCAGGTGCAAATGGATAGGCTGATATAGCAGTGGCCTCCCATAATCTATTCCTCTCAGTGTCCATGCATTTGTGTAGCTCCCTCCCACAATGATGAGGCATTTAGTCACATGACTCATTTTGGCCAATGGGACATTAGGAAATGTGATATAAGCAGAGGCTTGAAAAGCGCCTGTGTATTGGGGCTGGCTCCTCTCTTGCTTCTGGGAAGTTTTCAGGGCCATATTAAAAAGCCTACAATGGTCTCCAGGAGGATAAAAGTATACCTGGAGAAATATCCTGGCCATCCTGGCTGCTGAGGCACAAATGCACGAGTGAGTTCTGTTGGCACCACGTGGAGCACTATGTGAAGCAGAGAAGAATTCAGCCAATACTGCCAACCTAGCGAATGTTGAGTACATAGTGATTGTTGTTTTCAGCCAGGAAGTTCTGGGCTAATTTTTTCACTCAGCAACAGATAACTGATACTGTAGTTTCTCATCACTGGAAGGTGCCAGCAGGACTGGGCAACTACATAGGATTTGGAAGAGGGAGATCTTATACCAGTGAAGAGTCCTCTATGACTCCTTCAAAATATGGAATTCTTGGGTGAAAGAAAGAAAGAAGAAAACATTCAAAGCAGAATCTAAAATCAGACCCCTAGCCTTGTTTTTGTCATTTAAAGGCCTAATCTCCTAATCTGTCCATAATGAATGTTGTCTTTCTTTCCTCCCTCAGATTTTCTTCTCATTTACTCTCCAAGTGGGTAGAACTTGATAAACAAGAATTATAGTCCATCTCAAAGTAGATTTAGTATTTCTGGACAAAAGAGCCCAAGTTCCTCCCAAACCTATCAAAACTGATATTGTCTTTTGCCCCAAAGCTTCCTCTAATATTTCAGTAAAACAGGTGGTTTAGGGATTTACCAAACAGTTGGAAAGAAAAGACACTAAAATTAGCTGTGCCATTTTTTGTCATTCTCAATGATTTCTATTAATCTCAATTTCTTCTATCAAGCAGGATATATTGAGTTAAAGATTTTGAATTCTATTAAAAATTATAGTGATCATCCATGAAAAGTCTACTCACTTCCTTCTCAGGCTAAGATGAGCAAGTATGGGTTGGCTTAGTCAGGAGAGGGCTCCAAGGAAGTTGAATCAAACCCGTAGATACTTGGGGTCCTTGTACTTGTGAGGTGGGTAGGGGGTCCTGATGGACCAGATCTAAATAGTTTGCATCTGTCTTGGGATGAAGTTGGCATATAACTATGGGCTATGCACTTTACTTTCCCAATCCCATTTAACTCTCCCCACAGCCCACTTTGACAGATGGAAGATGAGGCTCAGAGAAGAGAAAGAACTTTCCCAGGTCATACAGGTAGTAACTGGTAGACCTGGGATTCACACCCACATCAGTCTCATTCCAAAGCCTGCACTATTAACCACAATGCCTTCTTCTAGAAGGTCTTGGAGTAGCTCTCCTATTCTTGCAAGTATCCCCTTTGGCCACCCCAAACTAAGGATACTTATAAATGTTATTCAAGAATTAATCAAGGTTAATTAAGAATTTACCCTGTACCTATAGAATCATAACTCCCACAGGAAAAGGAAAGTTGAAAGATGTTCTCTCCTCTTTTTTTCTCTGATGCTACATACTGAGATTCCTCAGGGTTCGAGCCTCCTGTACCTTCTCTTCAGTCCCCTCTCCCTAGGTGTACTCATCCATTCTCTTGATTTTAAATGTCCTCTCTTAGTTGATGGCTCCTAAAATATATTTACGGGTAAACCTCTCCTCTGAGTACCAGTTTTTGAAACCAAATTTTGAAAACTTCCTCATAAACTGGACCTCGCT